>NC_000022.11:30527745-30679260 GCF_000001405.40 Homo sapiens
AACATGCATTTTCCTTTGGGGGATAAAAATCTCCCATTTCTAGGATTTTATCCTATGGAAAAAACTGTGGATGTGTACAAAGGTTATCTATAAGGATCGTCACTACTCATTTGTTCCTAATAATAAAAATAATACAAACAACCTGAATTTAGGACTTTACTAAAATGGGAAAATGATTATCATATGATAAGTAGTTACAAAAGGGTATATGTATGGTATGAACCCATTTTTTTTTGGAAAATATATTTCTCTGAAAAAGATAGTGTTAATTGTAGTTCGCTGGGTGACAGGATATTCCCCCCTTCCTTATACATTTCTGTACTTTACAAATTTCTAAACTGTATTGCTTATATAATTTGGAAAACCTAGATTTCTTTTTTTTTTTTTTTTTTTTTGAGACAAAGTCTAGCTCTGTCACCCAGGCTGGAGTGCACTGGCGCGATCTCAGCTCACTGCAACCTCCGCTTCCCGGGTTCAAGCAGTTCCCTGCCTCAGCCTCCCGAGTAGCTGGGATTACAGGCTCCTGCCACCACGCCCGGCTAATTTTTTTTATTTTTAGTAGAGACGGGGTTTCACCATATTGTCCAGGCTGGTCTTGAACTCCAGACCTCGTGATCCACCCACCTCGGCCTCCCAAAGTGCTGGGATTAGAGGCGTGAACCACCGCGCTCGGCCTCTTTTTTTTTTTTTTTTTTTGAGATAGGGTCGCACTCTGTCACTCAAGCTGGAGTTTAGTGGCGTGTTCTCAGCTCACTGTTGCCTCAACCTCCTGGACTCCAGTAATCCTCCCACATCAGCTTCCAGAGTAGCTGGGACTATAGGTGTGCACCACCATGCCTGGCTAATTTATTTATTTATTGTAGAGACAGGGTCTCATTATGTTTCCCAAGCTAGTCTCCAACTCCTGAGCTCAAGCAATCTTCCTGTCTCGGCCTCCCAAAGTGCTGGGATTACAGGCATGAGCCACTGTGTGCCGCCAAAGATCCGGATCTAATTCCCCCCATTAAACAGATGAGGAAACCAAGACCAAGACAGAGCAGCTGAGTGACTCACTCCGCTTGCAGCTAATAACTGGCAAGGCCAACTCTCAAATCCAGCTCTCCTAACCTCAAATCGGGATCTCTACCCATGCTACCTCCAGGAATCTCTGAGACCCTTCCTGGCCCGTCTTCCCTCTCGGGGGCAGGCACAGCAGCCCACCTGGCAGCCCACCAGGCAGTGGGCCCTCAACACCAGTTGGGTGCCCTACACCTTCGGATGCAGGAACCATCAGATCTGTGAGAAGGACCACCCTCAGCTCAGGATCCAGGCTGGAAAAGAGGCCGCAGAGGGCTCACTCACCTCCGAGAATCACCACCTTCCTGCGTGTCTCTTCACTCATGTAAGACTTGACCAGGTTGAAGGCTACGGCGAATAGCTTGGGGGCTGAAACCAGGCACAGAACTGCTCCCTCAGGCGGCTGGCTGGGGTCTCAGGTGCCCACCCGGTCACCGCACATCCCCTGTCCCCCCAACTCATGCATATCCTGGGCTGCTTTACTCACCTCTCACAACAATTAAACTCTTCAAGATCTCAGGGTAATTTGCTTCAAGTGCTGAGAAAAACTGCGGAACCAAGTGGCAGAAGTGATGGGCGTCTGAACACTGTCCCCTTGCATCCCCTCTCGCCCCACCCTCCAGGACCCAAGGGCACAGCCTTGGCCTCGAATGCCAACCATCCAAGGCTTTGATGCAGACGGCTCCCGATGCCCAGACACCAAGAACCCACCCAGACACAGAGAAGCTGCCACTTCTGGTTTGTTGGATCCTAGTCATAGACCTTCCTTGAAGCAGCTAGTGCAGATTCTTTTTATTATTATTTTTATTTCTTATTTTATTTTCTAGAGATGGGGTCTTGCTATATTGCCCAGGCTGGTCTTGAACTCCTGGGCTCAAGTGATCCTCCCACCTCAGCCTCCCAAGGTGCTGGGATTACAGGTGTGAGCCACCGCACCTGGCCTAGTGCCGATTCTTGACAGATGAGTGGGGGGATAACTCTATTCATGACAGGCAAGAAAAATCCCATTCACGACTGTGGAAGGTTCCCTCCCACGTGAGTCAGACAATAGTTCAGCTTCAGGAATGAGAGAGACTTTCTTTTAGCATAATATACATAGTTGCAAGGAATGGCTTTTTATTTTTATTTACTTACTTTTAAAATTTTAAATAAGATAAACCAATTAAAATTCTTGGTTAGACAGTAAAACATTCTTGCCAAGAATAAGTCTACACTGTATGAAAGGATATTTGATTCCTACAAATGAGTCCCAATAGGCCCCATTACATTTGTTTATAAGAGACACTGCAAATAGGGAATGGTTTTTTTTAAAAAAACTGAGATATTGTCCGGGCGTGGTGGCTCACGCCTGTAATCCCAAAGCACTTTGGGAGGCCAAAGTGGGAGGATCATGAGGTCACGAGTTCGAGACCAGGCAGGGCAACATGGTGAAACCCCCTCCCTACTAAAAATACAAAAATTAGTTGGGCGTGGTGGCGGGCACCTGTAATCCCAGCTACTTGGGAGGCTGAGGCAGGAGCATCACTTGAACCCGTTAGGCGGAGGCTGCAGTGAGCCACTGCACTCTAGCCTGGGCAACAGAGTGAGACTCCGTCTCAAAAAACAAAAGAAAACAAAAAAACTGAGATATAATTTACATCCCAGGCTGGAGTGCAGTGGCGCGATCTCAACTCACTGCAACCTCGAGTTTCTGGGCTCAAACGATCATCCCACCTTAGCCTCCCAAGTAGCTGAGACCACCCCCACACACCACTACGCCCAGCGAATACTCTTATTTTGTAGAGATAGGGTCTTGCTATGTTCAAGACCAGGCTGGTCTTAAATTCCCGAGCTCAAGCGATCCTCCTGCCTCAGCCTCCCAAAATGTTGGCTTTACAGATATAAGCCACTGTGCCTGGTGGCCAATAACATTTTTTATGTTTAAGTTCTTTGCTGTCCTGGGTGAAACAGAAAGAAAGGAACAGGTAGGCTGGCTGCCCTGCGGCCCAGGCCTCCCCACAGCTTCCCTCCTACTGCAGCACTCCCAGATGACCTACTCTCAGCCCTTCCCAGAGGAAATGGCAAAAAGGAAGGTCAGGGGCTGGAAGCAGAAGGGTAGGCAGGTATTGGGGGTGAGGGCAGAGATCAGGGGTGGGATGAGAGTGAGCAGAGCCAGAATATGAGGACAGGGACATCCACAGGGACATTGGCAGGTCAGGGAATCGGGCCCTGTTGTGACCTGCTGAACATGAGATGGTGACCTGGGGGTGCCACGCCCAACTTAGCACAGCCCCGAGAAGCTGTGGGTATGAAAATATCCCTGCCAACAAAAGTAAGGAACTGTAGGCCAGGTGCGGCGGTTCACACCTATAATCCCAGCACTTTGGGAGGGTAAGGCAGGCAGATCACCTGAGGTCAGGAGTTCAGGACCAACCTGGCCAACATGGTGAAACCCCCTCTCTACTAAAAATACAAAAATTAGCCGGGCGTGGTGGCAGGCGCCTTAATCCCAGCTACTCCGAAGGCTGAGGCAGGAGAGTTGCTTGAACCTGGCAGGTGGAGTTTGCAGTGAGCCGAGATCACACCACTTGACTCCAACCTGGGTGACAGAGCAAGACTCTGTCTCAAAAAAAAGAAAAGAAAAGAAAAGAAAAAAAAAACGGGCCAGGCACAGTGGCTCACGCCTGTAATCCCAGCACTTTGGGAGGCCAAGGCGGGCAGATCACCTGAGGTTGGGAGTTCGAGACCAGCCTGATCAACATGGAGAAACCCCATCTCTACTAAAAATACAAAATTAGCCAGGCATGGTGGCGCATGTCTGCAATCGCAGCTACTCGGGAGGCTGAGGCAGAAGAATTGCTTGAACCCGGGAGGTGAAGGTTGTAGTGAGCCGAGATCACGCCATTGCACTCTAGTCTGGGCAACAAGAGCGAAACTCCATTTCAAAAAAAAAGTAAGAGCTGCAAACATGGCCTGTGCAGCTCTTGTGGGCAGTACCTGTGGGCGGGTACTCACCTGGCAGTGAGGAGAGAGGATTCCCGCCCCTGCCCCACACCAGCAAGTGGAGGGTAAAGACCCAGGCATTTGACCACCCACCCATGCCCCTGGCGGGGTCACCTCACCTCCTGGAGAAGCTCTATTCCTGGCTTCCACAGATCCCTCAGGCCCAGCCCTTCGAGACCAAAAATAGCTATGATTTTCTCCACCCTCTTCCCCAGCTGCAAGGGAATGACAGGGGGTGAGACCCTGTGAGGGCCACTGCCCCCACCCATCCAAGATGGGGCTGGGCCTAAGCCCAGGGCACTGGCCTGGCTTGTCTCAGCTCTGCATGGCACAGAGATGGGGGAGGGAAGGGGCCATCCCACAGGATGCCAGGACCGGAGTGACCCAAGGACCGACCTCTTTGTGTCTGTCCATGGGAGGCCAAATCGCTGTGTTGCAGTTCCCTCTTCGGTCCAGTGGGGCTGAAATCCCTGTCCCTCTCGTCCAATGAGGCTGCAGAGGGCAGTGTGGCCCAGTGGATTGAGTGGGCTTTGGGGCCAATTGGGGGAGAAATGATTCCCAGTTCAGCCACATACTGTGTGGCCTTGGGTGGGTCCTTGGCCTCTCTGAACCTGCATTCACTCCACAGTACCAGGAGGAGCCGAGGAGCCCAGGAGCCCAGGAAGGCAGATTCTGGGTGTGAGGCTCAGGGGGTGAGGGTGCTGTGTCCGGCTGCAGCTGCCCAGGGTGGCACCCACACACCTTCTGACTCTGCAGCTCACACTCCCGCAGGAGCAGCTCGCAGCTCCGGAAGCTGTCCCTGAGCAACTCCTGTTTGGAGGCTGAGAGCAAGAGGCCTTTGGGGTCCAGGCTTCCCACAATGTGGTACCAGACAGGGCTGCCCTCACCGTCGTGGCCGCATATGCCGTTAGCGTTGTACAGCCTGACCACCTGGATGCATACACAGGAGACGGGGGTTCAGTGCCGAGGGCTGAGGGCCCAGGGATCAGGGTATGGGTTTGAGAGATGCTCACCTCTGGGGGCTGCCAGGCAAGGATGTTGGCCAGGTCTTGTTGCTTCCGGAACTCCATATGCTGCAGAGACACGGCAGGAGGTGGTGAAGATTCTGCCTGTCCCAAAGACCTCTGTGGATACCTGGGGACACCAGGCCAGGTCCCTCTGCCTGCAACCACTAAGGGCCTGCCAGAGCATCCCCAGGCTCCACTGACATAGAACTGGGGGATGGAAACAGGATGGGGATGGAAGGGGACATGCATCTGAGAGGCCAGGAGAGACCTAGAAAGGGACAGGGGAGGCCTGCACTCTGCAGCTGTCTCCCCCTGCATCCTTCCAGATGTTTCCCATGCCCCCTCCCGCATGGCTGCCCTGGGAGTCAGACTCTACTTCCTGACTTCCAGTTGCCCTTAAGCAAAAACCTATACCCCCCTACAAGGCCTGCAGAGCCTGGCTGATGTGTTGGGGCCACCCTGTAACCTCATCACTTCCCCTTCTCTCTCCAACACGATCTCCGTGTGCTCCTAGAATATACCAGCTCAGGCCAGGCACAATGTCTCACGCCTGTAATCCCAGCATTTTGGGAGGCCAAGGTGGGTGGATCACCCGAGGTCAGGAGTTCAAGACCAGCCTGGCCAACATGGTGAAACCCTGTCTCTACTAAAAATACAAAAATTAGCTGGGTGTGGTAGTGCATGCCTGTAATCCCAGCTACTTGGGAGGCTGAGGCAGGAGAATTGCTTAAACCTGGGAGGCGGAGGTTGCAGTGAGCTAAGATCACGTCATTATACTCCAGCCTGGGTGACAGAGCAAGACTGTCTCAAAAAAAAAAAAAAAGAATACACCAGCTCATTCCCACCTCAGGGCCTTTGCATGAGCTGTGCTCTTCACCCTGATCTTCACATGCTTGCTTCCTTTTGGGCATTCATGTCCCTGCTGAAATGTCCCTGACCTCTCTTCCCTCCTTCCCTGTTTTGCTGTCTTCATTGTACTTTCCATTCTCAGGAATTGTCTTCTTTGTTCCTCTGGTTTCTTTTTCTCTCTTCCCATCACGGCAGTCTCCCCAGCGCCTAGCACCAGGCCAGGTTTACCTTCCAGTCTCAATGAATGGGTGTTCCATGAATGAATGAATGGATGGATGAATGAATGAATAAATTTGTGCCTCAGACTTGGGATAGGAAACAGGACCAGGCTAGGCAGGGGGAGGTGTCAACCTCACCTTCCTCAGCATGTCCTCTGATTTCTGCAGGTCAAAGCTCCGAGCTGCAACAAGAGACAGGGTTATGGTTGTGGAATTCTAGAGGCTCACTCCAGGCTTCTGGAGAGACAACGGCCCTGCCCCACCCTCCAGGCCAGCTTTGTCTCCTGTTACCCAGAGGGCCTTGTTCTTGACCTGGGGAGCCACAATGGCTGAGATATCCGGAGACCCAGGAACACTGGACACAGGCTCCTTGATTCCCTGGGCATGCCCCTTGGTGGGCCTTGGGGCCCTTTTCCTGTTGTTCCAGAAAAGTCATTGAGACAGCAGACCCTCAGAATCTGTCAGAATCATAAGGCTGAGAATTGTTTAAATCAGCAGATCACAAACATTTTGGCCTCAGGAGCCCTTAATACTCTTTAATTTTTACTTAAAAAAAATTTTTTTTTTTTTTTGAGAAGGAGTCTCCCTCTGTCACCCAGGCTGGAGTGCAGTGGCATGATCTTGGCTCACTGCAACCTCTGCCTCCCGGGTTCAAGTGATTCTCCTGCCTCAGTCTCCTGAGTAGCTGAGATTACAGGCACCCACCACCACGCCTGGCTAATTTTTGTATTTTAGTAGAGATGGGGTTTCACCATGTTGGTCAGGCTGGTCTCGAACTCCTTACCTCAAATGATCCGCCTGCCTCACCCCCCAGAATGCTGGGATTAAAGGTGTGAGCCACTGTGCCCAGCCCCCTTAATACTCTTTAAAAAAATCACCAAACTCATCTGGGAACTATGGCTCATGCCTATAATCCCAGCATTTTTGGAGGCCAAGGTGGGCAGATCACCTGAGGTCAGGAGTTCGAGACCAGCCTGGACAACATAGTGAAATCTCGTCTGTACTAAAAGTACAAAAATTAGCTGGGCATGGTGGTGGGCACCTGTAATCCCAGCTACTTGGGAGGCTGAGGCAGGAGAATCACTTGAACCCAGGAGGTGGAGGTTGCAGTGACATTGCTTGAGCCTAGGGGTTCGAGACCAGCCTAGGCAACATAGTGAGACTCTGTCCCTATAAAAAGAAAAAAAAAAGAAAAGAAAAATTATATATAAGTTTGCCTAATGGCCATGGTGAGATTATGGGTGATTTATAGAAATATCATTTTGTTTTTCTTTTTCTATACCTTCCAGATTTTCCATGATAAATGGGCTCTGATTTCATAATCAGAAAAACACCCAGTGGATGTTATAAACAAATGGGAGTGAGGTCCTAGCGGCCCCAGCAGGCTGTCAAAGCAGTCCTCTGCCCTGAGCCCAGCCTTAGCTGGGCTGTCACCCAGCTTTCTAAGAGTCAGCCTGGTCCATTGGCTCACTGGCTTTGCAGCAGCACTTCTGCTGAGAGCCTCTGGCTGGTGAGAACCAAGTGGTTTCACTTGGTCCCCAGGGCCTTGGGGAGTAGTTCTCACATTGATTTCATCTGGGCATCATAACAACCATGAAAGCTGCCAGTGGCGGGGAGAGAGTCTTGTTCCCTATAAACAGATGAGGAAACTGAGGGCCCAACAGAAGGGGGCCATAGGCCCCAGGTCTCATGCTGCTAGTAAGAGGCAGAGCGGGGACTAGACGCCTGTCTTTGGAACTCCAATCGGGACTCTTTTTTGATTTGGTGGCAGTTTAAAGACATTCTAGTTAGAAGAAATGGTACTGAGCAAAGATGAGCTAGGAAACCCTGTTGGCTACTATGTCATAGCTTTTGTTTGTTTATTTGTTTTTGAGACAAGGTTTTGCTCTGTCACCCAGGCTGGAGTGCAGTGGCACAACCATAGCTTACTGCAACCTCAACTTCCCAGGCTCAAGTGATCCTCCTACCTCAGCCTCCCCAGTAGCTGGGAACACAGGCAGGCAACACCACGCCTGGCTAAGTTTTTTGTGTTTTTTTTTTTTTTTTTTTTTTGTAGAGATGGGGTTTTGCCATGTTGTCCAGGCTAGTCTCAAACTCCTGGGCTCAAGTCATTCTCCCACAGCCTCCTGAGTGGCTGGAACCACAGGTGTGCCACCAGGTCTGGCTAAGTTTTAAAATTTTTTTTGTAGAGATGAGGTCTCCCTATGTTGCCCAGGCTGGTCTCAAATTCCTGGACTCAATCAATCCTCCTTCCTCGGCCTCCAAAAGTGTTGGGATTACAGGTGTGAGACCCCTAGCCCAGCCTTGTCATAAGTTACATAAAGTACACACCAGGCTCAGAGGCAAGTTGCCATCACAGGTTTTACAAAGGCTATTCATCACAGATTAAGTATTCTGGGCTCAACATTCAGGGATGTGAATTCCTGTGTACTCTGCAATAGTAGGAGCAGGTGTGATGATCAACATGGTTTCATAGTGGTTTTCTTACTGCAGCTGAAACCGACTCCAGCCCTACCGCCCACCCCCTACGAACCCCCCAGGGAAGGAGTCTTAAGTGTAGGAGTTGCAGCCACATTTTCAGGGCCACTGAGAATCCTGTCTGTGCATTCAGATTCCTGGGATTCTGACATTTATCTCAAGAGCAAACCTCTTCCCTAACCTGGTCCCCAAACTCTTTTTATGAGAAGATGTTAAGCAATTGGCCTCTAATGTCAGACTGACCTGACTTTGTCACCTGCTAGCATAGCGACCTTGGTCAAGTGGTTTAACCTTTGTAAGCCACAGCTTCCTCCAATGCAAAAACAAAGCTAACAATAATACCTACCTAATTGGGTTGAACAAGGAGGAGGAGGAGGGAAAGAGAAGAAAGAAAATAATAGATAAATGGCCGGGCACAGTGGCTCACACCTGTAATCCCAGCACTTTGGGAGGCTGAGGCAGGTGGATCACTTGAGGTCAGGAGTTCGAGACCAGCCTCGCTAACATGGTGAAACCCCATCTCTACTAAAAAACAAAAATTAGCTAGTTGTGGTGGCGGGCACCTGTAAACCCAGCTACTCAGGAGGCTGAGGCAGGAGAATCACTTGAGCCCAGGAGGCGGAGGTTACAGTGAGCCAAGATTCTGCCACTGCACTCCAGCCTGGGTGACAGTGAGACTCTGACTCAAAAAAAAAAAAAAAAAAAAGGAAATAATACATAAAAACTGCTGTACCCAGTGCCTGGTACAGAATAAGTGCTCAAAATATGAAAGTATTTCCACTCCTTGTACTAGCCACCTCCAAGATGACCATCAGTGATCCTCACCTAGTATTCACTCCCTGCTCTGCTAAACAAAAATCATAGGAGGCCATTGCTTTGTACTAAACTCCAGCACTAGGTCCCAACAGACAAGACCAAAAATCAAGATGGAGTCACCCATGCTCGCTAAACTGAAACTGAGTTGTTATCTGACTTGAGAAATCAAGAGAGATAGCCTAGCCAGGCACGGTGGCTCATGCCTGTAATCCCAGCACTTTGGGAAGCTGAGGGAGGTGGATTACTGGAGTCCAGGAGTTCTAGACCAGCCTGAGCAACATGGCGAAACCCTGTCTCTGCAAAAAATATACACAAAAATTAGCCAGGCGTGGTGCCGAGCTCCTATAGTCCCAGCTACTAGGGAGGCTGACGTGGGAGTATCGCTTGAGCCCAGGAGGTCAAGGCTACAGTGAGCTGATGTCAGCCTGGGCTTCAGAGTGAGACCTTGTTTGAGAGAGAGCGAGCGAGCAAGCCTAATTTCCCTAACAGGCCAATTACAATCTTCAGCTGGTATGTTAATGAAGTTCTCTCTGTTTTTAGCCTTACAGCAAAGAGTAACCTGAAGTCACCTGATGTTAACCAATCAGTTATCTTTCTATTGTTCTGTATCCCTGTCCTTGCCTTACCAGAAAAGTACTGTAGCTTTGAAATGATAGATCTGCCTTTTGTTCTGTTTCTGCTTTCTTCAGCCCCTTTTCTGTCTATAAAGCCAAACTCCTCTGCTTGACTCATCGGAGCACTTATTCTATCTCATAACATGAAATGTTGCCTGATTCTAGAATTCCAATAGAGATAATTGAAATCTTTAAACCAAATGTGTCATTATTCTGTCTTTGACAGTTCCCTCCCACACTGAGCAGGGCTGAGCTGTGTACCTGATAGATTGCTGTAGAAATGATGGAATTTGGCCAGACGAGATGGCTCATGCCTGTAATCCCAGCACTTTGGGAGGCCAAGACAGGTGGATCATCTGAGGTCGGGAGTTTGAGACCAGCCTGGCTAACATGAGGAAACCCTGTCTGCTAAAAATACAAAAATTAGCTGGGCATGGTGGCACATGAATCCTAACTACTCGGGAGGCTGAGGCACAAGAATTGCTTGAATCTGAGAGGCGGAGGTTGCAGTGAGCCGAGATCACGCCACTGCACTCCAGCCTGGGCAACAGAGTGGGACTCCGTCTCAACAAAAAAAAAAAAAAAAGAAAGAAAGAAAAGAAAAAAGAAATGATGGAATGTGACTCAGAAAGCTTCACTGTAAGATACCACCACTTCCTCCCTGCTCACTGGGATCACTTATGGCGGGAAGCCAACTGCCATGTTGTGAGGATGCTTGAGCAGGCCCTGTGAGGAAGAACTGAAGCCTCCTGCCAACAGCGAGCACAGACTTGCCAACTATGTTTGACACCTTGGAAGCAGATCCTCCTGTCCCAATCAAACCTTCAGATGACTGCATCCCCGATGGGTATCTTGACTGCAACCTCATGAGAGACCCTGAGTCAGAAACACCCCACTAAGCCTTTCCATAATTCCTGGCCACAGAAATCACGAGAGATAATAAATGTTTGCAGTTGTTTTAAATGGCTATGTTTTGGAGTAATTTGATACACTCAATAGATACCAAATACACTCCTCTTTCATGCCATTGACCCTACCCCAGCCCCACGCTCTATCCTTACCTTGGAGCCAGCGCAGGAGGAAGTAGTCATCAGGATTGGGCAGCGCAGATAGCACATCTTGGATGTTCTCCCGGAACTGAGGACAGACAGGGAGAGACCTGGGTCAGAGGCCAACCACCCTCGGTCCTGCAGGTCTCAACTGTCCTTGAGGAAGGGGATGTCTGAGTGAAGAGGTCCCACTCGGGCTGGGAGGATCAGGGTCCGGGTCAAGCCATAACAGTTTGTTTCCTCCGTCTTGAAAATGGGATGATATAAAGAACCAACTACAGGCCAGGCGCGGTGGCTCACGCCTGTAATCCCAGCACTTTGGGAGGCAGAGGTGGGAGGATCACCTGAGGTCAGGAGTTTGAGACCAGCCTGGCCAACATGGTGAAACCCTGTCTGTACTAAAAATACAAAAATTAGCCGGGCGTGGTGGCAGGTGCCTGTAATCCCAGCTACTCAGGAGGCTGAGGCAGGAGAATCGCTTAAACCCAGGAGGCGGAGGTTGCAGTGAGCCGAGATCCCACCATTGCACTCCAGCCTGGGGGACAAGAGTGAGACTTTGTCTCAAAAAAAAAGAACCTACTACACTAAACATCAGAGAGAATTAAATGTGGATTAAACACAGAGAAGCTTTACAAGCCTGACTCAGGGATGTGGGGGCAGGGAGGGGCCCTCTTTAGTGCCCTGATCTTCATCCTTAGGAAGCCTTCAGGCCAGGTCAGGTGGGAGGATAAAGTGCACAGAGTCTGAGGCTCAGAGAGGTTGAGCAACTTGCCTAGTGTCACACAGCCAGTGAGTGGCAGAGCCAGTTGCCTGATTCTAGAATTGCAATAAAGATAATTGAGATCTTTAAACTGAATTTGTCTTAATTTTGTCTTTGACCGTTCCCTCCCACACTTAAGCAGGGCTGAGCTGTGTACCTGATAGGTTAGGGTTGAAATGATGGACTGTGACTTAGAAGCCTTCAATGTAAAGACATGGTTTGGCACCCATCAGCCACGCCCAAGTGAGGGGTGGCTTGACCTGGCCTGGGAGTTGGTTAGGACAGTTCAGCTGGCCCTGGGCCCACCCTGCAGGGTCTGAGAGCTGAGAGGCCACTCCTGGGTGGATGTCATTGACTGTAGGCTAAAGCCAGCCTCCAACACTGATGAATATGGTAAGGAAAAGAGCACCGGACAAAGAGTCAGCAGGTCCCACTGTGGCCTTGCCTGAGTCACTCCCCTCTCTCTGGGTCTTATTCTCTTTGGGCCCCAGATGGATCCTCAAAAGACTTTCCTTGGCCCCCCACCAAAAATGGACTGATAACCTTTGTCTAAAGGAATATGAAAGAGGGTTTGGCCTTGGGCTAAGCCTTAAATGAATCCTGACATGACACTGCCATTATACCAATTCGCTAAGTGAGGAAACTGAGGCTGGAAATGGTGATGCGCCTTCTTAGCCAACATGAGCAATTTTTATTTCAATTTCTGACTTCAATTGTCTTTTAAGAGGGTTATCTCAGGTCTAAGCAGAATGTCCTTTTCCTGATGCAGAACACTGCCCCTCCTTTTTGTTCCTTTTTTTTTTTTTTTTTTTTTTTGAGTATTGTATTTTGAACTCATGGGCATTAAGATCAATTACTTGGCCAGGTGAGGTGGCTCACACCTGTAATCCCAGCACTTTGGCCAGCCGAGGCAGGTGGATTGCTTGAGCTCAGGAGTTTGAGACCACCCTGGGCATCAAGGTGAAACCTCATTACCACAAAAAATACAATAATTAGCCAGGTGTGGTGGCGCACGCCTGTAGTCCCAGCTACTTGGGAGGCTGTGGTGGGAGAATCGCTTGAACCCAGGAGGCACAGATTGCAGTGAGCTGAGATCATGTCACTGCACTCCAGCCTGGGCAATAAATCAAGACCCTGTCTCAAAAAAAAAAAAAAATCAATTGGCTGGGTGCAGTGGCTCATACCTGTAATCCCAGAACTTTGGGAGGCCAAGGCGGGCAGATCACTTGAGGCCAGGAGTTCGAGATCAGCCTTGCCAACACGGTGAAACCCCATCTCTACTAAAAATACAAAAATTAGCTGGGCGTGGTGGCAGGCGCCTGTAATCAAAGCTACTCAGGAGGCTGAGGCACAAGAATTGCTTGAACCCAGAGAGCGGAGGCTGCAGTGAGCTGAGATTGCACCACTGCACTCCAGCCTGGGCAACAGGGTGAGACTACATCTCAAAAAAAAAAAAAATTCAATTACTTGAACTTTTTTTTAATTAAAACTAACAGCTTTATGGGGATATAATCAGATGCGAATTCACACTTGAACAACTTGTAAGACTTTTCCCCTAGCTTTGTTTATACTTTGTTTTCTTTTTAAAAGATTCATACAATTCAAGAAACACAACTTTTAAAAAAATTTTTATTTATTTTTTAATTTTATTTTTATAATCATCTTCTTGGATACTAAGAAACACAACTTCTAAAGGCCACAATCATCCTTAAGCTAGATTTTAATCATACTCCCCTCCCAGCTTTATTAAGGTATGAATGGTGTTTAATTGCTTTTCATCAAAGAGAAATAAAAACTGTTCTGGCTGATAGGAGTGGCTCACGCCTGTAATCCCAATACTTTGGGAAGCCGAGGTGGGTGGATCACTTGAGGCCAGGAGTTCGAGACTAGTCTGGCCAACATGGCAAAACCCCGTCTCTACTAAAAATACAAAGATTAGCCAGGTATGGTGGCACACGCCTGTGATCCCAGCTACTCAGGACGCTGAGGCAGAGAGTCATTTGAACCTGGTAGGCAGAGGCTGAAGTGAGCCAAGATCACATCACTGCACTCCAGCCTGGGTGACAGAGCCAGACTCCATCTCAAAAAAGAAAAAAAAAAAAGTTAAAAATTAGCTGGGTGTGGTGTGCGTGCCTGTAGTCCCAGCTACTCAGGAGGCTGAGGTGGGAGGGTTGCTTGAGCCCAGGAGTTTGAGGCTGCAGTCAGCCATGTTCTCACCACTACACTCCAGCCTAGGTGATAGAGTGAGACCCTGTCTCCAAATAAATGAATAAATAAATTTCCTGTTCACTCTCATGGACAAAAAACAAATTATCTGGTATTGCTATACATCAGCAACACATTCAGCCATTTTCTAAGGAAATGGGTCAAGTTACCAACACACAGCTTTACACACACTACCTTGAGGAAGAAAACCAAGAACAGGCACAGGAGAAATTGTGCCTGTTCTTGGCACCGAAGGGCAGGACGCGAAAGGGCAGGCCGGTGGGCGGGGACGCCCGGCTCAGACCCCGTCCCCAGCCTGGACCTGGGCCCCACCCTGCCCACACCGCGACCCTCCCCATCCGTCTCGCGACCCTACCAGAAAGTCCACTCCAGCTTTTCCTTCACCTCGGCACGGCTCTGAAAGGATCGGTCCCCTCCGGCCCGCACCCACCCCCAAGAGGGGCCTTCAGCTTTGGGGCTCAGAGGCACGACCTCTTGGGGAGGGTTAAAAGGCAGACACCCCCCCACCCCCGCGCCTCCACTCCCCGACTCCTTCGCCGCCTCCAGCCTCTCGCCAGTGGGAAGCGGGAGTAGCCGCGCGGCCGGAGTCCGGAGGCGAGGGGAGGTCGGCCGCAACTTCCCCAGGCCACCTTAAGAGGACGATGTAGCCAGCTCGCAGCGCTGACCTCAGAAAAACAAGTTTGCGCAAAGTGGAGCGGGGACCCGGCCTCTGGGCAGCCCCGGCGGCGCTTCTAGTGCCTTCCAGCCCTCGCGGGCGGCGTAGCCGCGGCCCATGGAGCCCGCGGGCCGGTCCCCGGCCGCCTCGGGCCGCTGCTCTGCCTGCTGCTCCCCGCGTCCTGCGCCTGGTCAGGAGTGGCGGGTGAGGAGGAGCTGCAGGTGATTCAGCCTGAGAAGTCTGTATCAGTTGCAGCTGGAGAGTCGGCCGCTCTGCAGTGCACTGTGACCTCCCTGAACCCTGTGGGGCCCATCCAACGGTTCAGAGGAGCTGGACCAGGCCGGAAATTAATCTACCATCAAAAAGAAGGCCACTTCCCCCGGGTAACAACTGTTTCAGATCTCACAAAGAGAACCAACATGGACTTTTCCATCTGCATCAGTAACATCACCCCAGCAGATGCCGGCACCTACTACTGTGTGAAGTTCCAGAAAGGGAGCCCTGACGTGGAGTTGAAGTCTGGAGCAGGCACTGAGCTGTCTGTGCGTGCCAAACCCTCTGCCCCCGTGGTATCGGGCCCCGCAGCGAGGGCCACACCTGACCACACAGTGAGCTTCACCTGCGAGTCTCATGGCTTCTCACCCAGAGACATCAGCCTGAAATGGTTCAAAAATGGGAATCAGCTCTCAGACTTCCAGACCAACGTGGACCCCGCAAGAGAGAGCGTGTCCTACAGCATCCACAGCACAGCCAATGTGGTGCTGACCCGCGGGGACATTCACTCTCAAGTCATCTGCGAGGTGGCCCACGTCACCTTGCGGGGGGACTCTTTTCGTGGGACTGCCAACTTGTCTGAGACTATCCAAGTTCCACCCACCTTGGAGGTTACTCAACAGCCCATGAGGGCAGAGAACCAGGTGAATATCACCTGCCAGGTGACGAAATTCTACCCCCAGAGACTACAGTTGACCTGGTTGGAGAACGGCAATGTGTCCCGGACAGAAACGGCCTCAACTCTTACAGAGAACAAGGATGGCACCTACAACTGGATGAGCTGGCTCCTGGTGAATGTATCTGCCCACAGGGATGATGTGAAGCTCACCTGCCAGGTGGAGCATGACGGGCAGTCAGCGGTCAGCAAAAGCCATGACCTGAAGGTCTCAGCCCACCTGAAGGAGCAGAGCTCAAATACCGCCGCTGAGAACACTGGACCTAATGAACAGAACATCTATATTGTGGTGGGCGTGGTGTGCACCTTGCTGGTGGCCCTACTGATGGAGGCTCTCTACCTCGTCCGAATCAGACAGAAGAAAGCCCAGGGCTCCACTTCTTCTACAAGGTTGCATGAACCCGAGAAGAATGCCAGAAAAATAACCCAGGACACAAATGATATCACATATGCGGACCTGAACCTGCCCAAGGGGAAGAAGCCTGCTCCCCGGGCCGCGGAGCCCAACAACCACACAGAGTATGCCAGCATTCAGACCAGCCTGCAGCCTGCGTCGGAGGACACCCTCACCTATGCTGACCTGGACATGGTGCACCTCAACCGGACCCCCAAGCAGCTGGCCCCCAAGCCCGAGCTGTCCTTCTCAGAGTATGCCAGCATCCAGGTCCCGAGGAAGTGAATGGGACCGTGGTTTGCTCTAGCACCCATCTCCATGCTCTTCCTTGTCCCACAAGGAGCCGCCATGATGAGCACAGCCAGCCCAGTTCCCGGAGGGCTGGGGCGGTGCAGGCTCTGGGACCCAGGGGCCAGGGTGGCTCTTCTCTCCCCACCCCTCCTTGGCTCTCCAGCAGCCACGGCCCCCTCTCCCCACATTGCCACACACCTGGAGGCTGACGTTGCCAAACCAGCCAGGGAACCGACCTGGGAAGCGGCCAGAACTGCCTGGGGTCCAAGAACTCTTGTGCCTCCGTCCATCACCATGTGGGTTTTGAAGACCCTTGACTACCTCCCCGATGCTCCGAAGCCTGATCTTCCAGGGTGGGGAGGAGAAAATCCCACCTCCCCTGACCTCCACCACCACCACCACCACCCCTCAACTGGGGCTTGAGTGGGGAAGATTTCCCCTTTAGATCAAACTACCACTTCCATGGAAAAGCTGGAAAAAAACTCTGGAACCCATATCCAGACCTGGTGAGGTTGCTGCCAACAGTCCTGGCCTCCCCCATCCCTAGGCTAAAGAGCCATGAGTCCTGGAGGAGGAGAGGATCCCTCCCAAAGGACTGGAGACAAAACCCTCCGCTTCCTCAGGTCCCTCCAAGACTCCCTGGGGCCCAACTGTGTTGCTCCACCCGGACGCATCTCTCCCTTCTAGACCTGAGCTTGCCCCTCCAGCTAGCACTAAGCAACATCTCGCTGTGGGTGCCTGTAAATTACTGAGAAATGTGAAACGTGCAATCTTGAAACTGAGGTGTTAGAAAACTTGATCTGTGGTGTTTTGTTTTGTTTTTTTCTTAAAACAACAACAACGTGAAAAAAAGAAAGTCCACTCCAGCGCCCGGTCGCCACCCTTCTTTGCCCCGGGAACCCCATCCCGGCACCTCCCACCCCGCATACACCACCTACCCCATGCAAAACCCTATGATGGCAGGAATCGAGACCTCCAAGGACCCGTCGTTGCCTCCATGCTCATGGAACCGTGTGAGTCTTCCTGGACCCCAAGCTTGCCGTGTGCGACCACGAAGGAAAGACCCTAAGGACCTTCAAGGGACTCCTCCCAGGCTAGAGACGAAAATGCACCCTGTTCCTGCCTCCTCCAGCTCATAGCTGAGGACGTGACCTGCCAATGCAGCCTCCCCAGCAGGCCAGCAGCCTTCACCAGCCCTGTCCAATATGGTAGCCACAAATTCTTAAAATGTGGCTAGTTTGAACTGAGGTCTGCTGTGAGTGTAAAATACACAGGATTCCAAAGACTCAGTATCCCCTCAAAACACTCATTTTTTTTTTTTTTGAAACAGGGTCTAGCTCTGTTGCCCAGGCTGGAGTGCAGTGGCACGATGTTGGCTCACCGCAGTCTCGACCTCCTAGGCTCAATCCATCCTCCCACCTCAGCCTCCCGAGTAGCTGGGACTACAGGCATGGGCCACCACACCCAGCTATTTGTTGTTGTTGTTGTTGTTTTTAGAGATGGGGTCTCCCTATGTTGCTAATTTTTTAATTTTTTGTAAAGATGTGTTCTTGCTATGTTGCCAGAACTCCTGGGCTCCAGTGATCCTCCCGCCTCAAAGTGCGGGGATTATAGGCCCGAGCTACTGCACCAGACCAGTTGTTTTTATATTGATTAGATTATATATTGAAGTTAATACATCATTAAACTTTACTTCAATTGTTTCTTTTTAGGTTTTTTTTGTTTTGTTTTGTTTTGTTTTTGTTTTTGTTTTGTTTTTGAGACATAGTCTTGCTCTGTCTCCCAGGCTGGAGTGCAGTGGCAGAATCTTGGCCCACTGCAACCTCCACCTCCTGGGTTCAAACGATTCTCCTGCCACAGGGTTTCACCCTGTTGCCCAGGCTGGTCTCAAACTCCTGACCTCAAATGATCCATCCACCTCAGCCTCCCAAAGTGTTGGGATTACAGGCATGAGCCACAGCGCCCAGCCTCTTTTTAGTTCTTTAATGGAGCTACTAGAAAATTTCAAAAAGGCCGGGCATGGTGGCTCATGCCTGTAATCCCAGCACTCTGGGAGGCCAAGGTGGGTGGATCACCTGAGATCAGGAATTCCAGACCAGCCTGACCAACGTGGTTAAAACCCCATCTCTACTAACATACAAAAATTAGCCAGGCGTGGTAGCAGGTGCCTGTAATCCCAGCTACTCCGGAGGCTAGGGCAGGAGAATTGCTTGAACCCAGAAGGCAGAAGTTGCAGTGAGCCAAGATTGTGCCGTTGTACTCCAACCTGGGCAACAAGAGCGAAACTCCGTCTCAAAAAAAAAAAAAAAAAAAAAAAGGAAGAAAGAAAATTTCAAATGACCTATGTGGCTTGCGTTTGTGGTGGCGTGGTATTTCTATTGGTTAGTGCTGGTGTAGCCTCTGGCTACCAAGCCCCTCAGGGTTGGGAAGAGACCCAGAGCTGGAGAGTTCAGAAGAAACTCAGGGACCTTGAGTCCTGCCCTTCCCCGTGGCAGAAGGAGAAACTGAGGCTGGTGTAGGAGTCTCTCCCTTCACTCACCTGGGCCAGCGACTTCTCCTGCGATGGGCTCAGGTCACCCACTTGTCCACTCATGCTGCCCATGAATGGGTCCAGGCTCCACTCTGTGGCTCCCTCCAGGTGGCCTGCCTTTTGCCAGCTGGTAGCCATGCCCACATTTATCACCACCCAGAAATCCCACTACTTCCTGTGAGCCTCAGGGCAACAGGTGGGGCTCATTCCTTACTAGGTGCCTCAGGCATGGGGCCCTGGATTCAGCCTGCCCTGGGTTCACATCCTCACTTGCAAAATTAGGACAGCGATGTTTCCTCGGAGCGTTGATGACATGTTGAAATTGACACCACCTGATTTCACACACACACGGAGGCGGCTGTTCACCCTGCCTCTCAGTCCCCTACCCTCTACTCCTGTGGTCCCATCGGATGCCTCTTTGAGCCAGGAGAAGTCATCTCTCACCCCCAACAGAGGCCCGGAAGTCACTGTCATCATGCCTTCACTCTCATCCCAGGCTTCATCTACCACCTGACATGTCCAGAGCAACTGCCCATGATTCATCCCAGATGTTAAGGCACATGGCTTCAGGGTTGAGGATGAAACTTCCCAGGCCCAGACCCAAACAGGTGGATTTGCAATCCTGAGCTGGGCCACACTTGGCCTGGGAGCCAGGATGAGAGGTGAGGAGGGACTCCTGGCTACATCTGCCCCCACCACCCACTGGACAAGCAGAAAGCCAGAGCCCAAGGTGAGGACACATGAGATCACGCGGTGTGCACGGGGCCTGGAACACAGTAGTTATTTGTAGTAGTCTGGGTTGCCCTGAAACAAGGAGTTCAGGGCAAGTTTATTAGGGAGGTGTCCTGAGAAACACAAGTAGGGAAGTGTGGAAATGAGACAGAGAACGGAAGGCAGCTGTATAGGCCTGGTTATCAAGGAAGTACAGAAGAGCTCAATCCCAGTGGGGACTTCTGGGAGACAGCAGGGAACCTGCCCATCAGCGTTTCCTTGCCTGAGTGGGGAGGGAGCTGGGGTATTTATGCAGCATCTCGGGACAGTCTTCAGTTGAGGGCTGCTCCAGGGGCTGTCAATTCTGCTGGCACTGCTGGCCTGCTGTGCACACAATTCAGAAGGCTGGAGAGCGTACTTAGGCAGAGAAACACAGGTGCTGCTGCTGGGGAGTAGTGAGGCTGAGGTGATACAGGCAGAACATCACCAGCTTTAGCTCTAATCAGAAACCGTTTGCTGGGCTCCATGTCAAGTTCTAGTCCAAAGGCTTCATGTGCTCCTTGAGCCCCAGACTGTTCTTCCCTACCTGACAGAGCCTGGAAGAGGGAAGCAGCATGCCTGGGGCCATACAGCCATGTAGTAAGTGACAATCAGGACTATCTGGACCTGGTGCTTACTCAGGACATTGTATCCCACATGCCTGGCTCCTGCCAGAGGCATGCACATAGGTGGCCTTACTAAGTCCCAGGAGAGTCCCCCTTAGCCCTGGAAGAGGGCAATGAGCAGATCTGCCTCTTCTACAGGGTGGGGCCTCCCCAGTACCCCACACACTGCAGGCTGGAGCTTGAGCCATAAGGGGTAAAATCAGGAACTCTCCCCTACTCTTGTCTCCTCCCACTGGGTCCCTGCTCCCAGCACCTCTGGCCCATCTTCTTCTTCTTCTTCCTTATTTTTATGTATTTATTTTTTGAGACAGAGTCTTCTTGCTCTGTGGCCCAGGCTGGAGGGCAGTGGCTCACTGCAACCTCCTCCTCCCAGGTTCAAGCAATTCTCCTGTCTCAGCCTCCCGAGTATCTGGGATTACAGGCGCACGCCACCACACATGGTTAATTTTTGTATTTTTAGTAGAGACAGGGTTTCACCTTGTTGGCCAGGCTGGTCTTGAACTCTCGACCTCAAGAGATCTGCCCACCTTAGCCTCCCAAAGTGCTGGGATTACAGGAGTGAGCCATCGCACCCAGCCTTGGCCCATCTTCTTCAAGCTGGCTTCTGAGTAAGTCCCTCCTCTGCTCCAAAGCCTCCCTGGGCTCCTTGTTACCCTCAGTTAAAAACTGTAGATGCCTTCGCCTAGACTCAAGGCCCTTTTGGGTCCCTCCTGAGCTAATTTCCCCTTCCTTTCTCCCTTATCCCAGGTCCCTTGCCTCCTCTCCATTCTCTTTCCAGCTTTTTCTTTTGCTGTTCCCTCTTCCTGGAATGCCTTTCTTGCAACACCCTGTATTCAGCCTCTGCCTCCCACAAGGCCTACTTCAAATGCCTTCTCTTTGGCAATGTCCTTTCTGATGTGTTTTTTGTTGTTGTTGTTGTTGCTGGGAAGCAAATCCCCAGCCCCCTAAAATCCCACACCCCACTGTCGTCTTCTATCCTTCCAGCAATTGTGATATGTCACAGGTCTCCCTCTTGGGCTCCTTGAGGGTCTGGTTCATTATGGTACACTCCCACTCCAGCACCCACTGTGGTGCATTGTACACAGTAGGTGCTCAATAAAAGCTCACCACGCCTGTAACCCCAGCACTTTGGGAGGTCGTGGGCGGATCACCTGAGGTCGGGAGTTCGAGACCAGCCTGGCCAAACGGTGAAACCCCGTCTCCACCAAAAATACAAAAATTAGCCAGGCGTGGTGGTGCACACCTGTAATCTAAGCTACTCAGGAGGCTGAAGGAGAAGTGCTTTAACTCAAGAGGTGGAGGTTGCAGTGAGCTGAGGTCGTGCCATTGCACTCCAGCCTGAGCGACAGAACGAGACTCTGTCTAAAAAAAAAAAAAAAAAAGATTCACCAAAGGTAGTCTGGCAATGGAAGCTGGGATGCCCCAGAGCAAGCATCACCCAGGATCCCTGACTCTACCTGTCACTGTCAAAACTACCTGGTCTGTGCCCCATTCCAGTGTCACACGGGTTTTCACCCACTGAACTCATTCCAGTGCACGTCTGCATTGGGTAATGTGCTGTCTTTGCCAGGGAAATGGGGCCCCTGTCAGTTACAAATAGGCTCTGGAAGGCCCTCCGCCCTCTCTCCTTCTCCCTTCCCCCCTTCATGTCCCCCCTCCTTCTTGTCTTCCTTCCTTTCTATTTTTAATCTTGTGTTCCTCTGTCTTTCAACATTTATTAAAAGCCTACTGTGTGCCAGGCACTGGCCTAGCCCTGGAGGCCAATTGTGCCAATGCGTCCTGGTCCCTGTCCCAGAGGAGCCCACTCCAGGGGGCTCGCAAATCAGCAGTTGCATCCTGAGTGGGCAGAGCCCAGATGGGGAAAGAAAGAGAAAAAGAAATAAAAGAAAGGGCGAGTCTGCTGGAGAGAGGCCAGGTGGGGATCCAGGCAAGGTGGAGAGGCTGGACCTAGCGCAGAGGTGGGGCGTAGAGAGTCTGTTAATTTCCTGGGGCTGTCATAACAAAGTGCCACAAACTGCTGGGTGGCTTAAAACAACGGGAAATGTATCCTTTCACAGGTCTGGAGGCCGGATGTCTGAAATCAAGGGATTGGCGGAGCTGGGTTTCCTCTGAGACTGGGTAGAACCTTGCCTTGCCTCTTCCTAGCTTCTGGTGGTGGCCTGAAACCTTGATGCTCCTTGACTTGCAGTCGCTTCACTCTAATCCCCGCCTGTTGTGACATAGCATTCCCCTTGTGCATCTGTCCTCACGTGGCGTTTCCACTTCTTTGCTGTTTGTTTGTTTTTTTGAGCCAGAGTCTCACTCTGTCACCCAGGCTGGAGTGCAATGGCACAATCTTGGCTCACTGCAACTTCCGCCTCCCAGATTCAAGTGATTCTCGTGCCTCAGCCTCCCGAGAAGCTGGGACTACAGGTGTGTGCCACCACGCCTGGCTAATTTTTGTATTTTTTAGTAGAGATGGGGTTTTGCCATGTTGGCCAACCTGGTCTCAAATTCCTGATCTCAAGTGATCTGCCCGCTTTGGGCTCCCAAAGTGCTGGGATTACAGGTGTGAGCCACTGCACCTGTCCCATTTCCACTTATAAAGCCACCAGCCAGATTGGATTAGGGCCCACTGAATGACATTATTTTAACTTGATTACATCTGCAAATATCCTTTTTTTTTTTTTTTTTTTTTGTTAAGAGACAAAGGCTCTGTTGCCCAGGTTGGAGTGCAGTGGTGTGATCCTGGCTCACCACAGCCTCAAACTCCTGGGCTCAAGCAACCCTCCCACCTCAGCCTCCAGAGTAGCTGGGACTACAGGTGTGTGCCACCATGCCTGGCTAGTTTTATTTTGTATTTTTTTGTAGAGAATTGGTGGGGGGTGGTCTCACTGTATTTCCCAGGCTGGTCTCAAACTCCTGGCCTCATGTGATGTATTTTCAAATAAAGTCACGTTCACAGGAACAGGGGGTGAGGACTTCATCATATCTTTTTGAGGGATACAGTTCAACCCACAACAGAGGAACAGATGGTTCCACTGACTTTCTCACAGGGGACAGCCCTGACCGCTGTTCTGGCTTTCACACATCAGGTCAGCGGATACCAACCCAGCCACGAGTCAGGGCTGACGGCAAAGCCCTTTGTAGACCCCATACTTTTTCAGGGTGGACTGTCCATCAGTCCTGAGGCTGAGGTGGCCAACTTGGAATGGTGCTGCAGGTCTGGAGCCCTGGAGCCCCGGCCTTGGTGTCAGACCTGCCTGGGTATGCATCCTGCCTCAGTGGCTGCCTTGCTCTGTGACCCTGGCAGAGGCTGGTTGCACAGCTTCTTTGCATCTCAGTCACTTCCTTGGGGGAGCAAAAGGGATCGCCCATGTTTCCACATTGCACAGGGCTGGACGTAGGGCTCAGTACCCCATGATCACTTATTAAAATATAAATTATGTTGGCTGGGTGCAGTGGCTCACACCTGTAATCTCAGCACTTTGGGAGGTTAAGGCGGGTGGATCACTTGAGGCCAGGAGTTTGAGACCAGCCTGCCCAACATAGCGAAACTCCATCTCTACTAAAAATACAAAAATTAGCCTGGTGTGGTGGCTCATGCCTGCAATCCCAGCTACTCAGGAGGCTGAGGCAGGAGAATCGCTTGAACCCAGCAGGCTGAGGTTGCAGTGAGCTGAGATTGCAACACTGCACTCCAGCCTGGATGACAGAGCGAGACTCCATCTAAAAAATAAATATATAAAACAAATAAAAATAAAATATAAATGTTAATAAAAGAGTTAATAACTATAATAATGCCATTAGAACAAACCAGGTGGATTGTAAATTCCAATGCAGTAATTTATATTCCTGACACTGCTGTCTGACAGATTTGTTCTCCTTGGATCCTTAAGGGCCTCAAAATACTGGTAACAATAATAAAAATAAATCATGCAATAGGCTGGGTGGAGTGGCTTGTGCTTGTAACCCAGCACTTTGGGAGGCCGAGACAGGAGGATTGTGTGAAGCCAGGAGTTTGAGATCAGCCTGGGCAACATAGCAAGACCCCATTTCTACAAAAAGCAAAAAATTAGCCAATTGTGGTGGCGAGTGCCTGTAGTCCTAGCTACCTGGGAGGCTGAGGCAGGAGGATCACTTGAGCCCAAGAGTTTGAGGCTGCAGTGAGCCGAGATCATGCCACTGCACTCCAGTCTGAGCAACAGAATGAGACTCTATCTCAAAATAAATAAATAAATAAATAATATTATTACTGGCATTTCTAGGCCTTTAGGGGCCCCAGGAGATATGATTAGTATGGAATTCCTTAAACTCGGAATATTATATTGCACACTAAGTTACATGTATCATTGATTAATAAAAGTGAGGAAGGCCAGGCATGGTGGCTCACACATGTAATCCCAACACTCTGGGAGGGTGAGGCAGAAGGAATGCTTGAGGCCAGGAGTTGGAGACCACTCTTCTCTATAACAAAACCAAAGGTGGGAGCAATTATCTCATGAATTTGGGATCAGTAACATCTTTTCCTATGAATAGTCTCAGCTACTGTCAGTGGTTTTTTTTCCCTTATTTCTCTCCATATGAATTAAAGGTCTCATGCGTGTGCTGCAAACAATATTATTTCTTGCCACAAAGAACATTATGAAAGTGCCGGCAGTGGCTCTAAGGGATTGGTGGGGTCAAACCTCTCTCAGGGTGATGGACTGTCCTGATTGCCTGGGACAGAGGGGTTTCCTCGAAAATAGGAGTTTCAATGCTAAAACCAGGATAGTTCCAGAAAACTGGGACGGTTGGTCACCCTAACTCCTCCTCACTCTACTCAGGCCAGAAGTTCACTCCTAGGAGGCAATAACCCAAGCCCAGTGAGAGGTTAATAGCTGACTGGTATGGGTTTGAATTCTGACTCTGGCACTAATTTGCTGTGTGACTTTGGGTAAGTCACTTAACCTCTCTGAGTTTTAGTCTAAAAGCTGGGAGGCTGAATATATTTGGATAAGGTATGCAAGCACTTGGCCTGGAACCTGACACAGGTCTCAAATAAAGAGTCTAAAATAAAGAGTCTCAAATAAATAGGTCTCAAATAAAGAGTCACTTGAAGCCAGGCATAGTGGCATTCTCCTCCAGCTACTCAGGGGAGGCTGAGGCAGGAGGATCGCTTGAGCCCAGGAGTTTAAGACCAATCTGGACAACATAGTGAGATCCTGTCTCAAAAAAAAAAATTAAAAAGAGTCACCTGACTTTGGTTTCTGCCATTCAGGCCTGGATGCCAGCTCCTAGCTGGAAGACTGAAAGTCCTGTGCCCCAGGACTTTCTCTCCCACTGGGGATGCTGAATGAGGCCAGTGGTTAGAGCTGGGTGTGTCCACATCCTAGTCAGTCACACCCAGCCTGCATTGGTTTCTTGGTGGCCATCTTCCCCACTGGATATGAGCCCCAGGAGGGATTGGCCAACTTGTTTTTTGTTGGTGGTGGTTTTTGTTTGTTTGTTTGTTTTTGTAGAAATAGGATTTTGCCATGTAGCTGAAGCTAGTATAACTCCTGGGCTCACTAGATCCACCCACCCCAACCTCCCAAAGTGCTGGGATTATAGGCAGGCACTAATAGCAAGTTGGCTAGCTTGTTGACTGCTGTATGCTCAGAGCAGCTCAGGGCTGGGGGGCACAACAGGGATTTGGTGGATACCAAATTTTTTTTTGGATTAATTGAATGGAATCTCACGGTGGAGCAGGGAAGCCCAGGGCTTTTGTTGGGGCAGAGTATAGGCAGGTGTGGGAGGTGGCCTGGGATAGGGGGGCAGAAGTAGGAGGGGCAGGTAGAGACAGAGTGAGGCAGGCTAGGAGCCAGGGACCAGTAGGGATGGAGGGAGAGGGTGGAGGAGGGGAGAGACAGGCACTGGAGATGGGAAGGCTTTGGGGTCCCTGGGAGATGGTTTGAGTCCCTGGTCTGATACGTCCTGCGACGTGACCTCAGGCAAATCCCTTCCCCTGTCCAAATGTCCGTTCCCACATCTGTAAAATGGGACGGTAATTATAACGACCTCAGTTATTGTGAGGAGTAATGAAGTCTGTGCAAGAAGCCCTTAGCCTGGGCCCAGGGCCTGTTGGCAATGCCCTACTGAGTGGCCCCACCCCTGCCACCTCCCTGTCTCTTCCTCCCTCTCTCTCTCTCTCTCTATTCTGATCCGGCCACACCCTCTACCCGCCCAGCCCCCTACTCTAGTCCTACCACTTGCTGTGTGATCTTGGTGAAGTGATTGTCCCTCTCTGAGCACCCTTCATTGTCTCTAGCATGAGACAATAACAGTCCCCAGGTCGCTGAGTTTTGGTGAAGATGGGTTGAGATAATGCCCTTAGCCTAGTGCCGGGCACACAGTCAGAGTGAGTAACTGTTGTACTCTGTTGTACTCCTTAGGATGATCACACACACATGCACACATGCACACACGTGCACACAAGCGCACACATACACACGCGCTTTTCCAGGCCTTGGTAGCTCATGGGAGTCCCTGAACCATATAGAACTATAGCATATAGCAAATAACACATCAAATCCCTGCCACCCCATTGGGCTCTGCCCACAGACTCACCCAGGCACCACTGTGGTCTCTTGGGTTCCCCCCACCCCAACCCCCACCCCAAGTCACCACCACTGAGGCTGATTAACAAAAACACAACATCAAATTCCTTTACTTCTGAGGTCTCCCCTTTAAGGGGAGGCAGAAATAGAACATTCTTTATCGGGGAGGGAAAGGGGTTTAATAAAAACTGGTATAATTAGTTAAATACTGATCTCGGTTAGGCCCTCTCTGTGTTCATGGGCCCAGTCTTGGCTGGCTGCCTCCCCCCAGGGAGCCCCCCCTCACCCCGGGGTCTGAGGTGGCACCAGGAGGGGGCTGGGGGCGGCCAGCACCAGCGGCGTCCTGCTCAGCCCCTCTGCAGGGAGCGAGCAGGCAGGCAAGCCGCTGGGCGGTGGGACGTCACCACCGCAGGAAATCGCGAATGAACTTCCAGAGCTTGGTGACCCACAGGTTGGCGCCGAGGTCCATCAGGTACTGGATCTCGGGCGTGAGCATGCGCCGGCAGAGCTGCGCGTGCCGCTGCCCGATGCTCTTCTTGAGGTTGTAGCCCAGGATGGACTTGGTGCCCAGCGGCTGCCAGGGCTGCATGGCCTCGTCCTGGATGGCGGCGGCGTCCACGGCGTGGCCCCCGTCGATGCAGATGGTCCGCATGCGCTCGTTGGCATGGCGCAGGGCGGCCACCTCGCGGGCCATGCGCTCCCGCCCGAAGGCCTCCACCTTGCGCCAGAAGCTGGCGTTGAAGTGGCGGTAGAGGTGGGAGTCCAGCATGTTCCAGGCGGTGGCGCGCCCATACAGCTCCCCCGAGAGCCGCGGCACGGGCGAGTCGCGGCGGGCGTTGAGCTTGAAGTAGAGCACGTCCTCCAGCTCCCAGCACAGCAGGTCCTTCAGCAGCACCAGCGACTCGTCGAAGTACTCTTGAAGGAGCACCAGGTGGAAGCGACGCTCCACCTCCAGGATGTGCTCCTGCACCTGCGGGCTGCTGGGGTCCAGGCTGTTGTCATAGCCCAGGTCGAAGAAGAGCAGGTTTCGGAGGTAGTGGGCATTGAAGCCGTTGGGGTCGTAGTAGCGATCCGGGTCTTGCAGGAACTCGGTCAGCTTGTCGCCGGCCGAGAGCTTCCACGTGAGGGGCACCACCGGCCCGAAGTAGTGGAAGGAGGACTCGAACAAGCGGGCGGGGTCGCGGAGCACCGTGATGAAGATGGCGTTGGTCGGCACCAGGCCGCGCACCTCGTCGTAGTGGAAGCGCATGTGGTTGCAGATGATGTTGAAGCAGGCCCCGGGCCGATAGTCCTGCACCAGGCTGCGGGCGAAGAAGGTCGGGTAGTCGAAGTCATTGCGGCCGTTAGGGAAGGCGAACTTGAGCCGGTGCTTCTGGCCGAAGCGGAACAGGATGTTGAGCAGGGTGCTGCTGGCCGTCTTGTGCGTCTTCAAGAACACGATGTTGCGCCGCGGCTGGCACTCCCCCGCCGAGCCGTTGGCCCGGATCACTGCCTCTGGCTCGAGTGCAGGTGGAGAGCAGGACGCTGCGGCCTCCGGGGTCCTGCTGGGGACAGAGAGGTGGGGAGAGCCTCAGGGGGGTGCTGGGGCCCTCAGGACTCTGGTAGTTAGAGAGGGAGATTATTGGGAACAGTGGTGGCAAAGGAGCTGGGATAGTGAGACCTGTGGGGCCTGAGTCCAGGCTGGGTGCCTGCGCGGGTGGTTTGGCCTCTCTAGCCTCATGTTCCTCTTCTGTGAAATGGGGACGATAACAGGCCCTATTCACGGTGTTGTGAGATGAGGCACACAGGCTCTCCTCTCATTCATGGCCACTGTGTTGCATGTACCATGAATCAGTATCAGCTTGGGCCACATGAAACTGCCATTTTATAGGACAAAAATGGTCCATTTTTGCAGAAATTTGCAGTTTCCTCTGTGTCAAGTTAATATCACCAACCACTGGTATTGCACCAGCTACAGGCTGTGCTGGGTCTGTGCAGAGCAGCCCCATGAGGAAACGGGAGAGCCTGGTTCTCAGGAGCTGGGCCTGGAGTCAGACCGACCCGTTTGAATCCATGCCCATGGACAGGTCGCCCCCACCAGGGCCCCGTTGGCATCTCAGATGATGCAAATCTGAGCCCTGTACAGACAGTGTTACCTGATTCTCATGCTCTATGAGGAAGGCTCTGGGTTTTTTTTGTTTGTTTGTTTTTCTTTTTGTTTTGAGACAGTCTCACTCCGTTGGCCCAGCCTGGAGTACAGTGGTGCCATCTCGGCTCACTGCAACTTCTGCCTTCCGGGTTCAAGCAATTCTCCTGCCTCAGACTCCCAAGTAGCTGAGATTACAGACACACACCACCATGCCCAGCTAATTTTTGTATTTTTAGTAGAGATGGGGTTTCACCATGTTGGCCAGGCTGGTCTCGAACTCCTGACCTCAGACGATCTGCCCGCCTGGGCCTCCCAAAGTGCTAGGATTACAGGCGTGAGTTGCCGTGCCCAGCCGAAAGGCTCTGTTTTTATCCCCACTTCACAGATGGGCACACCAAGGCTCAGAGTTACACGGCGAGCTCTGCCATCAGTGGAATTTCTGTCTGGCACAGCATGGTGCAGGGTGCAGGGTGGCTACCCAAGATCACTGGGGCAGGCCCTGTGGTAATTACAGGGCCCCATGGGTGGGGTGCCATCCCTCCCCCACCTACACCCATCATCTGCCCAGCTGGGCCACTCACGTGGAGGCCAGGCCGGCATGCAGCGGGGGCACGGCATAGGAGTACACCAGCAGCAGGAAACTAGTGAAGAGCGCGCCCAGCACCAGCCCCTTAGCCATGGACTCCCAGGGCTTCTTCTGCGGTGGCAGCATCTCAGACACCTGCAGGGGCAGCACAGAGTAGGGCAAGTGTCAGGAAGCTGGCCCCAGGGAGCCCCCAAGGCTGCCCAGGCCTGGCAGTTGAGCCCTGCCTTTGCCTGCTCTGTGGCCCCCCAGCAGGGTCCAGACAGGGACAGAGAGGCACTGGAGAGATAGACTGACAACCACCTGGAAAGAGACAGCCCCAGGGTTGCAGAGACGGTGGGTGAAGCAACTCAAAGAGAGGTTGGGGAATGGGGCAGGGAGAAGGTTAAAATTTAAAAATTAAAATGAACCGGGTAGAGAACCAGGGCCCCAAACTTTCCACTCCTTTTAATTTTTAAGCTGGCTGATAAGAAATAAAAGAAAAAGAAACAGAAGAAAAAATGAGACAACTAATACTTATTACCTTTTTTTTTTTAGTTATCTTATTTTTTCTTCTGTTTCTTTTTCTTGTATTTTTTATAAAAATATATATTTAAAACATTCTTCAATTTTACTTCAAATTCTCCCAGATCCTGAAGTTATTTTTTATACCTTTTAGGGCATCATAATGAAATTATTTCCTTTTTTATATTTTAATTTTTTTAAAAATAGAGACAGTTTTGCCACGTTGCCTAGGCTGGTCTCGAACTCCTGGGCTCAAGCAATCCGCCCGCCTTGGCCTCCCAAATTGCTGGGATGACAGACGTGAGCCATCGCGCCCGACCATGAAACACTTTTCTAAGGCAAAAGGAAAAAGCCTGGGCACAGTGGCTCACACCTGTCATCCCAGCACTTTGGGAGGATGAGGCAGGCGGAGTGCTTGAGCCAGGAGTTCAAGACCAGCCTGGGCATATGGTGAGAACCTATCTCTACAAAACAAAATTTAAAAAAATTCACCAGGCGTGGTGGCACATGCCTGTAGTCCTAGTTACTTGGAAGGCTGAGGCGGGAGGATTGCTTGAGCCTGAGTTCCAGTGAGCCATGACTGTGCCGCTGCACTCCAGCTCTGGATGACACAGTGAGACCCTGTCTCAAATAAATAAACAAATAAATAAGAAGGAAAAGAAGACCCTCTCCCCGTGCCCTGGGCCCTCCCTCCCCCAGGCCTGGGCCAGGGCTGTCTATAGGGAAGGCCAAGGGCTCTCTGGGGCCTGAATCCTTCACCTTTCAGAAGGCACAGCCAGCCCTACCTGTCCCCTGTGCCACCCACCCCACAGTGGTACAGGTGAGGTGCCCAGTAAGAGCCCAGGGCTCTTCTCTCCTCACTGGCCCTTGTGCCCCTAGAGTCTGTAGGGTGGCTGATGGAGAAACTGAGGCTCACAGCTGGGAAGAAGAAGGCTCAAGTCACACAGCTGGCCAGGCCTCTGCTCACATACCCACCCCCTTTCCAAAGCCAGCCTGTAGGGTTGCTCAGTTAAATTCAAATTTCAGATAAACAATGAATACAATTTTTTACAGTATAAGTATATTCCAAATATTGCATGGGACATAGTTATACTAAAAATTATTCCAAGGCTGGGCACGGTGGCTCACGCCTGTAATCCTAGCACTTTGGGAGGCCGAGGAGGGTGGATCACCTGAGGTCAGGAGTTTGAGACAAGCCTGACCAATATGGTGAAATTCTGTCTCTACTGAAAATACAAAAACTAGCTGGGTGTGGTGGCATGCCCCTATAGTCCCAGTTACTCAGGAGGCTGAGGTAGAAGAATCGCTTGAACCCAGGAGGTAGAGGTTGCAGTGAGCCAAGATGGTGCCACTGTATTCCTGCCTGGGTGACAGAGTGAGACTCTGTCTCAAAAAAAAAAAATTATTCAAACTTCAAACTTAACTAGATGTCCTGGAGGTTTTGTTGTTATTTCCTTATTTTTTCATTTTTATATGTTTATTTTATTTTTTTGAGACGGAGTCTCGCTCTGTCGCCAGGCTGGAGTGCTGTGGCGCAATCTCGGCTCCCTGCAACCTTTGACTCCCCGGTTCAAGCGATTCTCCTGCCTCAGCCTCCCAAGTAGCTGGGATTACAGGCACACGCCACCACACCCAGCTAATTTTTGTATTTTTAGTAGAGATGGAGTTTCACCATGTTGGCCAGGATCATCTTGATCTCCTGACCTTGTGATCTGCCCACCTTGGCCTCCCAAAGTGCTAGAGTTACAGGCATGAGCCACCGCGCCTGGCCCATTTTTATACATTTTTAATATTTATTTTATATTATTATTTTTGAGATGCCCAGGCTGGTATTGAACTCCTGGACTCAAGCAATCCTCCCACCTCAGCCTCCCAAAGTGCTGGGATTATAGGCATGAGCCACTGTGCCCAGCCTGTTGTTATTTGTTTTGGGGGATGATCTAAGCGTGGCAACCCTATCAGCAGGGGACTGAGACATGGACTGTAACGGGGGCAGTTCAGGCTGAGGAACTGGAGTCCAGGAGAGAGCTGCGGCTTGGAGGGCCTTCCCACCTCCCCTTAGCTGCAAAACCAGGTCCCCAAACTTTCTACTCTTGTCCCGAACTTTCCACTTCTGTCCTGGCTCACACTGCACTGCGCCCTGGGCCCCTGAGGCCAGGAAAAGTCACATGTGCTAATAACTACATGCATGCATTATCACCACTGTCCCTGGAGTCAGTCCCCCTGGGGGAGGGTCACACACACTATGCCCTGGAAAAGTTATGCTGAGGTGGGAGGATTGCTTGAGCCTGGGGGGCAGAGGTTGGCAGAGGTTACCGTGAGCCAAGGTCGCACCACTGCACTTCAGCCTGGGTGACCAGAGTGAGGCCCCATCTCAAAAAAAGGCAATAATTGTCAACACGTTAACAAATGTGTTAGTTAATTTGTTACTTAACACATTTAAGTAACAAATCAGAAAGCTTGCAAAGCGGAATAAACCCGGCAGCCATGGAGGGGCCCCAGCACCAACCTCAGGCTCTGGGACCCTCAAGCCTGTGTTTCAATCCAGCACTGTGATTTCAGACAAGCCAAGAACCCTCATGGAGTCTCAGTTTTTCATCTGTAAAATGAGAAAGCTGGAGGCGCCCCTAGCCATTCTCTGGAGAACTTTTCTAAGCAAGCAACCAGCACATAGTCATCACTTAGAGTGTTATCTGTACCCCTCCTGAGGCCCGGGGGGCCTGCCTTCAACCCCAAAAGGAGTAGGGGCTGGGCCGCCCACAAAGCACAAACCTGCCTCAGCCTCAAGCACCCCTGTCAGCCTCCCACTTCTCAGCGACCCAGCAGAAAACAGGGCAGAGTCGTGGACCAGATCATAGTCCAAAACTCTGGGCCTCAGTTTCTCTGACTTAAAGATGAGGAGGGATTAGGATTCCTGTGGCTTGCCCTCTGGAAATCCCAAGGACCCACCCCGGCCCCAGCAGCCCCACTCACCAAGGTACCTTCTGGAATCAGGGAGGCTGCAATAGTGGAGGCGCTGAGGTTCAGGCCCAGCAGCAGGGGGCAGACCAGCCTCCCTGCCCCGCCAATCAGGCTCCACCTGGCCCCGCCCAGGACAGTTCCTCCACCCGCACCCCCCCAACCCCATTACTGGTACACTCATTCACTCATTCACTCACTGGTTTCATTCTCCCATTTGCTCTTTTGTTTGTTTTTGAGACGGTGTCTCCCTATGTTGCCCAGGCTGGAGTGCAGTGGTGTGATCTCGGCTCACTACAGCCTCCACCTCCTGGGTTCAAGTGATTCTCCTGCCTCAGCCTCTCGAGTAGCTGGGACTACAGGTGCCCACCACCACACTCAAGTAATTTTTGCATTTTAGTAGAGCCGGGGTTTCACCATGTTGGCCAGGCTGGTCTCAAACTCCTGACTTCAAGCGATCCACCCGCCTTGGCCTTCCAAAGTGTTGGGATTACAGGCGTGAGCCACTGAGCCTGGCCCCCATTTGCTATTTCTCAAAGCTTGCCAGGCCCCTGCCACACGTGCTGGGTGCTGCCAGCCACTGAACCTTGGGCTATCCCTCCTAGTTTTACTTTTGAGCCCCTGTTAGGAGCCAGGCCCAAAGCAGGGGCCTGCCTCTCCAGAGCATCTAACTGACCCTACTCAGCAACCACTCAGTGGATACCACTCCACCCCCCACCCTGCTGTCACCCCCATTTGGTAGATGGGAAAGGTGAGGTTCCAGGAGGTGACATAACTTGTCCAGGGTCATTCAGCAAAGCGGGGGCAGGGCTGGAATTAGAGCCCAGGTCTATGGAACTCCAATGTGCTGCTTCCTGCTTTGTCCATGGCAGCCCCTGCCTGGTGTGTCCTAAGCCCTGTCCCAAGCCCAGGGGAAGGAAGGAGGGAAAGTTGCATTGCAGGAAGTGGGGGATGTGGGGTTGGACAGGAAGCTCTATCCTGGGAGCACAGCAGGGTCCCGTCTCTGTGGGCTGAGCCTGCGGCCAGGATAAGGGGAGGGAAAGCAGAGGGGGCCCTGGTGTCCGTCCCTCCCGTGCCAGCCACCTGAGGGGTCCAAGGCTGGTTGTGCCTTTCCTGCCTAGCTACTGTAAACTTAGGCATGAAGCTATGAACCTCACCCTCCCTAAGCCTCAGTCTCCTCGTGTGTGCAATGGACACACAACAGCAAGATCAAGGCACACAGAGCGCTCTGTAATCACAGGCAGAGCCCCTGGGCAGACTGAGGTCGGGAGAGGAGCTAGCTGGCAGCCAGGAGCCTGGCTTGAGGGAGAACAGTCACTAGGCTATGAGATAATTTTTTTAAAAAGACAGGATCTTGCTCCATCACCCAGGCTGAAGTGAAGTGGCACGATCATAGCTCATTGCAGCCTTGAAATCCTGGGCTCAGTGGATCTTCTTGCCTCGGCCTCCTGAGTAGCTAGGACTAACAGGCATGCACCACCATGCCTGGCTACTTTTTAAAAAAAATTTTGTAGAGATGGGGGTCTCACTCTACTGCCCAGGCTGGTCTCGAACACCTGGCCTCAAGTGAATTTCCCACCTCGGCCGCTCAAGTGCATACCACCCATGCCCAGCTAAGTTTTTAATTTTTTGTAGAGATGGGGGCTCTCACTATGTTGCAGGCTGATCTTGAGTTCCTGGCCTCAAGTGATCCTCCCACCTCCACCTCCCAAAGTGCTGGGTGTAAGCCACCATGCCATGCCCTAAGGCTGTGAGACTGAGATAATGCACGTACCCAGGAGATCAACTCATATTAATTATTATCATACCATTGACTCTGACCCAGCCTTGGTTCACCGGCGTGCCAGAGGTGAGGTCCCTTCCATGCCCCGCTGCAGGCAAGCCTACCAGTGACTCATCCCTGAGCTCCCCGAGCCTGGCACCTGGTGAATGTGTGATGAATGACTTCCCATGACCCTCAGGGCAGAAGGTGTCCAGGGCTATAGAGCCCGTGCAGAGAATGTGGATGAGGACATGGTCCAGGCAGACAACACCTCACTGAGACACAGGAGAGATCCTGTGTAGGAGACCTACAGACGAAAGTAATACATGTGAGGCACATGCATGTAAAAGCTCCCATGGGCCAGGCCCGGTGTAATCCCAGCACTTTGGGAGGCCGAGACAGGCAGATCACGAGGTCAGGAGTTCAAGACCAGCCTGGCCAACATGCTGAAACACCGTCTCTACTAAAGATACAAAAAATTAGCCGGGTGTGGTGGTGCGCACCTGTAATCCCAGCTACTTGGGAGGCTGAGGCAGGAGAATTGCTTGAACCTGGGAGACAGAGGTTGCAGTGAGCTGAGATTGCGCCATTGCACTCCAGCCTGGGTGACAGAGAGAGACTCTTTCTCAAAAATAAATAAATGGATTAAAAAATAATAAAAATAAAAATTGAAATCTGAAATGTCCCTAAATCCAAAACTTTTTGAATGCCTACATGACACCACAAATGGAAAATTCCATACCTGACCTCACGTGACAGGTCTCAGTCAAAGCGCAGGTTTATTTAGCATCCTGAAGGGAAAAATAAAACTACCTTGAGGCTATGTGTATAAGAAACATACATGAAGATGGGGTGTGGTGGCTCATGCCTGTAATTCCAGCACTTTGAAAGACAGACACAGGAGGATCACTTGAGCTCAGGAGTTTGAGGCCAGCCTGACCAACATGGCAAGACCTCATCTCTACAAAAAATACAAAAATTAGCCAGGCATGGTGGTGCATGCCTGTAGTCCCAGCTACTGGGGAGGCTGAGGCGGAAGTATCACCTGAACCTGGGAGGTCGAGGCTGCAGTGAGCCATGATCGTGCCACTAAACTCCAGCCTGGGCTACAGAGCAAGACCCTATCTCAAAAAAATTAAAATTAGGCTGGGCACAGTGGCTCATGCCTGTAATCCCAGCTCTTTGGGAGGCCGAGGTGAGTGGATCATGAGGTCAGAAGATCGAGACCATCCTGGCTAACACAGTGAAACCCCATCTCTACTAAAAATACAAAAAAAAATTAGCCAGGCTTGGTGGCAGGCACCTGTAGTCCCAGCTACTCAGGAGGCTGAGGCAGGAGAACGGCGTGAACCCAGGAGGCGGAGCTTGCAGCGAGCCGAGATCACTCCACTGCACTCCAGCCTGGGCGACAGAGCGAGACCCCGTCTCAAAAAAAAAAAAAAGCTTAAACAATAAAATCAATAAGAAAGAAAGAAACATAAATTCTTTCTAAACTTAAATGTTTAGACTTGGGTTCCATCTCCAAGATATCTCATTACATATATGCATATATTTCAAAATCTGAAAAATCTGAAATCCGAAACACTTCTGGTCCCAAGCATTTCGGATAAGGGATACTCAACCTGTACCAGCTGACCCTCCATCACAGGGTGCTGTGCAGATCCTCTGCATTCCACAGGGAAAGCACCCAGCCCGAGGCTGGTGCAGAGCAGACAGTCACTCAGCAGGGCCTGCCATCATTGTTATCATCATTATCATCATTACGTTCCCAGGGTCCCAGCCACAACCCCATCAAAGTGTGTGCCCACTGGCCCACGATGGAGGCTTGCAGGCAGCCAAGTCCAGGGATGATCTCAATGTAGCCAGAGACTCCTAGCCTCAGGGTCAGAAGACAAAGAGGCAGGGAGGCTCAGACTCAGAGAGGGCAAGGATACCTTTGGGGTAACACAGCCCAGCAGCAGCAGAGACAGGACTAGAACCTGGGTCTCCCACCTCCTCCACCCACAGTAGTGACAACTGCAGGCACTCAGGATGGACGGTCCCCCCGTCACCAGCCCACTCCATCTATTCCTGCCCTTCTAGATTACGCCCATCACATTGGCCTGCATCAGTGCAGGCAGCTGGCAGCAGGCCAGGCCCAGCCATCCTCCTGTTTAGCTGAACTGATGCCCTCCAGGGAATGAAGGAGAAACAGGACTTATTCCCCCACATCATGCACAAAGGGAAACTCAGCCCAGGATGGTAAACCTTCTGGCTTAGAGCATCACCACCAGTCAGGTCTCAGGGTATCCTACTTTCCCTGTAACCCCTGTGGTGGAGCAAAAGAGACACACTCACCTCGGGCTGTGGCTGGCTGCCCCTTTCTACCCACTGCCTGAGCCACGTCCAACTCCCAGGCTGCCTCTGCGATCACTGGGAGACAGGAATGCTCCAATGACACCCAGCAGCAAGCTGGCTGGCTCCCTCCCACTCCAGTGGTGTGAATATTCATGAGTTTGCTTCCTGGGGATAGCAGGTGGCACACCCCAGTACCCTGCAGGTGTTGCCCAGGCCTTCTGCCTCCACTGGACAGCTCTGGCCAGTCCTCACCTCTCTTTGGACCCCAACAAGCAAGCAGCTCTTTCATCCAAGGGCACAGAAAGATTCCAGGTATCCTTGGGCCAAGGACACAGCAACCGCAGACGCCTGCAGAGAGCCCAGAACAGGCTCTAAGGCTGAGTGAGGGACAGAGAGGTGCAGGTGGGCTGGGGTGCCAGAGGGCTAATTGCCCCACCTATTGCATTTCATTTAAGTCTCACAGCTGATGCATCAAGCACCCCTGTTAGTCTACCCTCCTGGTAAAGAAACCAAAGCTCAGAGAGGTAACGTCACCTGCCCAAGGTCACGCAGCTAGTAGAGGGCAGACAGAGCTGGAGTACATACGCAGACTTGCCAAACTCCAGGGCTTAAAGATGCTGAGACACAACCAGGGACCAAGGTTTATCTAAAATCTGTGGGAACCCAGAAGAATGAACAACTAACTCAGCCTGGAAGGCTTCCAGGAGGCAGAGCATCTGACCAGGGCTCAGAAGATGAGTCTGGCAAGATTTCACTTCCTGAGCTCTAAATCTTTCATCAGAGAGGGTGTCCTGCCTCTATCCCTGGGTGAGGAATGGTGATACCCAGACACTCGACCAGCTCTGCAGGATTTGGGCTGATTGGAGATGCAGATCTTCCCCAAGGCCTTGGCAGAAGAGGCAGTTCTAGGTGCCCTGGCCCTAAGCCCCAGGAACCCTAGGACTCAGTTCAGGCACTTGAATCTTAGGTTCAGGTCAGTTGTCTCAGCTTTGCCCATGGGCAGAGGGTCTCCTTGTGCCCAGAAATGCCTCCTCCATCCTCCCTTCAGCACTGCTGCCTAGAACCCCATCATGGACCAGGCAGGTGTCACCATTTAGGGACCCAGGTGCCACCATCAATTAATAATGATCATTATTGTGACAGTCATTCATCCCACACTAAGCACTTTCATAGGCTAAGCAGCTGCCAGCCTCTCCCAGGGAACAGCAGGCATCCTCACTTGCTCTGAGTCCCCCTTTCCCTCAAAGCCTCACCAGTCTGGGAGCAGCCCCCAAGCACCCACGAAACACCAGAGCTTAAACTGCCACAAGGCAGACCAGAGTCGCCTTCTCTCTAGGTACTGGAACCAGGTTTGGGACATGGTATGGAGTTGTTTTATCCAGCCTAACATCCCATTGACCTTCTGCCTTTTGAGCTGAGCTAGAATGAAGACAGCTTTCTGACGGTGAGTCAGGGCGGAGCTGGCATCAAACCGCAGGGGCTGTAGTTTATTAGCGTGGACTCTGAACCCAACACGGTCCACTTCTGTGCTTGGGACCTGTCATGCATCATGCAGCCTCATAGTCCTCTCTGGGGAGCTCTTGTTATCACCTCCATTTTATAGAGGAGTGAGAACTTCATCTAGGTGAGAGTGAAGTGCAGGCTTTTGAACAAGAAGTGAGATCGTGGCTGAGGAGGTGAGCAACTAGCCAAGGGAAGCAAAGATTTCCAGAGTAGGGAGCACTGATGGTAGACCTGTGCTTCCAGCCCTGCCAGAGGGGTCTCTTTCCAGAGTATTGATGATAACATCTTTTTTTTTTTCTTGAGACAGAGTCTCGCTCTGTCGCCTAGGCTGGAGTGCAGTGGCGCCATCTCAGCTCACTGCAAACTCCACCTCCCAGGTTCATGTTATTCTCCTGCCTCAGCCTCCTGAGTAGCTGGGACTACAGGCACCCTCCACCATGCTCGGCTAATTTTTTGTATTTTTAGTAGAGACGGGGTTTCACCGTGTTAGCCAGGATGGTCTCGATCTCCTGACCTCATGATCTGCCCACCTTAGCCTCCCAAAGTGCTGGGATTACAGGCGTGAGCCACCACGCCCAGCCGATGACATCTTTGGCTGGTTCTCTACCCCCACCCCCAGGAAATTTTTATTTTATTTTATTTTATTTGAGACAGGGTCTCACTCTGTTGCCCAGGCTGGAGTGTAGTGGCAAGATCTTGGCTCACTGCAACCTCTGCCCCTTGGGTTCAAGCAATTCTCCTGCCTCAGCCACCCAAGTAGCTGGGATTACAGACATGCACCATGGTGCCCAGCAAAAACTTTTTCAATGATAAAAGCAGTATACTGAAAAAAAAATTCAAACAATACAGAAGAGTATAAAGAAGATGATTAAAAGAACCCCAACCCCAGAGGTCATCACCATCACAGGATTTCTGGCCATATATTTATATAGATGATGGAATGGAAACTGTTTTTGTTTTTTTGACACAAGGTCTTGCTCTGTCACCCAGGCTGGAGTACAGTGGCGTGATCATGACTCACTGCAGCCTCAAACTCCTGGGCTCAAGAGACCCTTCCACCTCAGCCTCCCAGGTAGCTGGGACTACAGGTACGCACCACCACGCCTGGCTAATTTTGGCATTTTGATTTTTTGTAGAGATGGGGTCTTGCTATGTTGTCCAGGCTGGTCTTGAACTCCTGGGCTCAAGTGGCCCTCCTGCCTCAGCCTCCCCAAGTGCTGGGATTACAGGTGTGAGCCATGGAGCCCAGATGCACGTGCTTCTTTGGGGACATATTTTGTTAACTTGCTTTTTTCCCACCTATCGATAAATTGTGGACATCTTGCAGCCACGATAGTTTTTTGTTTGGTTGTTTTTTGTTGTTGTTGTTGTTTGAGACAGAGTTGCACTCTTGTCACCCATGCTGGAGTGCACTGGGGCAATCTCGGCCCACTGCAACCTCTGCCCCCTGGGTTCAAGCAATTCTCCTGCCTCACCCTTCCAAGTAGCTGGGATTACGGGCACCCGCCACCACACCCAGCTAATTTTGTATTTTTAGTAGAGACAGGGTTTCACCACCTTGGGCAGGCTGGTCTCAAACTTCTGACCTCAAGTGATCCACCTGCCTCAGCCTCCCAAAGTGCTGGGATTACAGACGTGAGCCACCGCGCCCAGCCCGTGATAGTTTTAAATTGATCCATCCCACAGGTATTTACTGGGCACCTGCACTCCAGGACTAGAGTTCATGATAACCCGGTGCAGAGAACTCAGGGCTCACAGTCCTAACTGGGGAGACACAGGAACACACAGCTGTGAGGCGTGTGATGGACAACGGATTGTCTGAGGCTTGCAGAAGCACGAAGAAAACACCTGATCCAGCCTTGGGGCGGAGACAGCAGTATCAGGAAGGCTTCCTGGGGTAGGGGCCTCTGGTGGCAGAAGCTGTTGTGTGGTCTCCAATTTCCAAAGACAGTCCCCTTTTTTCCACGGCAGCACAGCTAGACTATATTTCCCATGCGCCCTTGCAGTTCAGTGTCCTCACATAACTGGGTCCTGGCCAATGATATGTGAACAGAATGCCAGCTGATGAGGTTAAGTGGGTGGACCTTTTCTGTGGTCTCCTTTCCCATTTACTGGATGAACGGGGTGGTCTCCAAGGATCTGGGCATGGGCGGAGCTGGGAGGAGCCTAGGTCTTTGCATCTCCACCCACCAGACACTGACTGGATTTCAAGAAAACGAGAACTGTATTAAGCCTTTTAGAACTTCAGGTTTGTCTGTTACAGCAGCTAGCATTAACTAATATGCCTGTTACCCTAGAATGAGCCACACAGAGAGAAAAGCACATGCAAAGGCCCAGGGCAATTGAGAAACAAACTTTCCACCTGGCTGGAGTGTTTGGTGTGTTTGCGTGTAATAGGCTGGGTGGGCAGGGGAGAGACTACAGAGACAGCCAGAAACTAGGGCAGGGTTAAGAGGGACATGCAGAGGCCTGGCGCAGTGGCTCACGCCTGTAATACCAGCACTTTGGGAGGCTAAGGCGGGCAGATCACCTGAGGTTAGGGGTCCGAGACCAGCCTGGCCAACATGGTGAAACCCCGTCTGTACTAAAAATACAGAAATTAGCCGGGCGTGATGGCAGGCGCATGTAATACCAGCTACTCGGGAGGCTGAGGCAGGATAATCGCTTGAACCTGGGAGGCAGAGTTTGCAGTGAGCAGAGATCGCGCCACTGCACTCCAGCCTGGGCAACAGAGCGAGACTCCATCTCAAAAAAAAAAAAAAAAAAAAAGAGGGACATGCAGGGCTTTCAGGAAGCATGCTACTGAGTCTCACCTAGATCCTGTGGGCTGTAGGGACAGACCCACAGGAGGGTCTTCAGCAGAGGAGGGAGCAGATGGGATTCCCATTGGGCTACTGGGTAAGAAATGAACTGTAGGGATGGGGAAGGAGAGGGAGGAGCAGGCCGACCTCCATAGTAGTTGTTACAGCTGTGCAGGTGTGACCTGGAACAAGAAGGCTGGGGAAGTACCAGAGCTGTCTGTAGACCATGCAAAGGTAGCATCCTATTGGCAGCAGGTATGGAGGAGAGGAGGGAAGAGTTGCTGTTGGGTGACTGGCTGGCTGGAGGTAGAGCTAGTCCCTGAGTCTGGGAGGCTGAGAAAGGGCCAGGTTGAATGCTGGGTGAAGCAGGTGGTGTCTGGTTCTGTTTAGAATACTCTGAGTCTGAGGGATGTTTGGGATGATCATAGAATGCCTGAAGAGCAGTAGGAGCAAAGAGGGGGGTCTTGGGGGAGGGAAAGAGGTAGGCGGGGAGCTGGGCACCAAAGTGGGAATTGAGGCCATAGGAATAACTAGAGTCACCAGGGAAGGGTGAGGAAGGACAGGGAGCCTGTGCTTACGGAGCAGGGTGAAGAAGAGCTCCCTAAGGAGACAAAACAGGGCAGCTAGGGCTGTATCAGAGTTTGCAGCACCGCTATTCCCCCATAAACCATTCCCCAGCCGGGCACGGTGGCGTGCGCCACCCAGCATTTTGGGGAGGCCAAGACAGGCAGATTGCTTGAGCCCAGGAGTTCGAGACTTGCCTGGGCAACACAGTGAGACCCCATCTGTATAAAAAATTTAAACATTAGCCCTGTGTGGTGGTGCACGCCTGTAGCCCCAGCTACTCAGGAGGCTGAGGCAAGAGGACCCCTTGAACCCAGAAGTTCAAGGTTACAGAGAGGTATGAACGTACCACTGCACTCCAAGCCTGGGCAACAGTGTGAGACCCCATCTTAAAAAAAGAAACTCCAAGAAACAAAAGCCATTCACCAACTGAGGCACATCCGTGCTGTTTGCTCATATGCACATACAGGAACAGGGCTCTGGCAGAGAAGGTGGTGGGGTGAGGTATCCCAGGGCTTTCTGTAGCTGGAGTGGAATCCCATCGGGATATGGAAGGAGCTTTCAAGAGTGGAGCAAAACAACTCTCCCTATGATGTTCGTAGTGCAGATTTGACAGCAGCTATTACAGTTCTGAGTGTGCCTGTTCTCAGACCCAGCAATCCACCTGCAGGAATGTGGCTCAAAGATAATCTAACAATCAATCTGAGATGGGCATATAAAAGTGGCCACTGCAGTATCATTTCCTCCAGTGCTCACAGAGCCTTTACCCCCATTTAGAAGATGAGGAAACTGAGGCTCGGAGAGATTAAAAAAGAGTTGCCTGACCGGATGTGGTGGCTCACGCCTGTAATCCCAGCACTTTGGGAGGCCAAGGCGGGTGGATCACCTGAGGTCGGGAGTTTGAGACCAGCCTGACAACATGGAGAAACCCCATCTCTACTAAAAATACAAAAATTAGCTGGGCATGGTGGCGCATGCCTTTAATCCTAAGGCTGAGGCAGGAGAATCACTTGAACCTGGGAGGCGGAGGTTGCAATGAGCCAATATCGTGCCATTGCACTCCAGCCTAGGCAAAAAGAACGAAACTCCGTCTCAAAAAAAAAAAAAGAGTTGCCTAATATTAAGCCTGGAATGCACTGTTTATGGAATAAACTTATTCATGTAGAGAAAAGTTGTACATTCGTACATGTGTATAAGGGTCTGGAAAGACACCCAGTTATAAATTGTAGCTCTCTGGGGAGTAAGCCCATTCACTTTCTGGAACATATTTTGATTCTGTGATGATACACACACACACACACACACACACACACACACACACACTCTTTACAAAACAGCTTATATTACTTTGGAAAGATAAATAAAGATATTTCCACTTTGAAAATCTGCAGCCTGGCTGGAGGAAGATGAGCCCCACCTCTCCTCACTGTGTGGCCGAGGCAAGACACTCTGCCCTCTCTGAACCTCAGTGCACCAAGTGAGGAAGGGGCAACAGGGGCCTGGGACTGAGAAGGAGCTGGGAAGTGTGGGTGGCACAGCAGAAGGGGCGGATGGGATAGGTTAACCCTCCATCCAGGGGTACTGGGGAAGTGACTTGCAAGCACCTAGAAGCTTCCTCAATCTGAGCCCCTCTAGAATGGGGTGCTGGAGCAGAGAGGGGGAAGACCACCTATTGGAGCATTTCAGCTGGATCCCAACTCGCTGGCTCAGAGGACCACTTCCAAAATGTCAGCCCAGACATCTGGCCCCTGCTGCGACCTAGCCTGCAGGGGTGGATGCAGGTGGTAGCTGGCCCAGCAGTTGAGAGAGGGTAATGTTCTTTGATGATTCAGAAAGCACTTTTTGAACTTTCGGGGTCATCTCTCTCTGCTGTTTCAAAGGGCATCCACGGCCGGGCGCAGTGGCTCACGCCTGTAATCCCAGCACTTTGGGAGGCCGAGGCGGGCAGATCACGAGGTCAGGAGATTGAGACCATCCTGGCTAACACAGTGAAATCCCGTCTCTACTAAAATTATAAAAAAATTAGCCAGGCTTGGTGGTGGGCGCCTATAGTCCCAGCTACTCGGGAGGCTGAGGCAGGAGAATGGTGTGAACCTGGGAGGCGGAGCTTGCAGTGAGCCGAGATTGCACCACTGCACTCCAGCCTGGGTGACAGAGCAAGACTCCGTCTCAAAAACAAAAACAAAAACAAAGGGCATCCATGCCTGTGACCTTGACAGACACTCCCAGTCTCCTCTGCTAGCCCCATGTGATGTGTGGGGAAACTGAGGCTCAGTTTTTTTGCCTACACGGCAAAGCCAAAATGAGGAGCAAGGCCACAGCTCTTCCTGCTACACTGCCTTGTCTGGGTAAATCACCCCGCTTCCTGAGGGGGGGATTTGAGTAGCCTTAGAGAAGCGCTAACTGGGGCGTTGCAAGTCACAGCTTCACCAAGAAGTCAGTCACTTTGTCATTAGCTCCAAAAATGCTGAGAACCCCAGAGCTGAGTATGTAGGAGTTGATAATATCAGTCTCTGTACCTTACAACATGCCTGAAATATTTTTTAAGGATTCTTATGCGCTTATTTGCCTAAAACTATGTAACAATATAAAGGTTTGTGAAAAGGTATTGACACTTGCAATGCACAATGCCGGAGATACATACACCCACCTCTCCATTCCTGGAAACTCGCCTGGTAACAAATGCTGGCTCCACCACCCCCCAAGCTGGGTGACCTTGGGCAAGTGACTTCCCCTCTCTGAGCCTTGGTTTCCTAAAAAATGGCAGGTACTATGATGCTTTCACAGGCCTGCTGTGAGGCACGCAGAGCCCTTCACACACTCAGCGTTAGCTCCTCTGATTGTATTGTGATCCTCCTAGATCCCACCTGGTAGGGGAAGCGGGCTCTGTCCAGACTTCTAGAAGGATACCATCCCCATCCAAGGAGCCAGAACTAGCAGGAGGGAAGGCAGGCATCTTCTGGGCCCCCACTTCCTCCCACCATCACCCCTCACCTGGAGATTCCAGCAGTCCCCAGCCTGATGACCCCCATGGGCACCTGTGTTCCATCCTGCTCTGCCCTGTTTGGAGTCGTGTGGAGCCCCTAAAAGGGCTCATCCATATTCCTCACCCAGTCAAAGTGAAGCAAGGAGCCCTTCAGGAGCCTGCAGCCGGGCCCAGAATTCCATTTGTGCATCATTCTCTCAGGTTAATCATTGCCTCTTTCACTGGATGGCACACCCAGTCCCTCAGAACACAGTGGGAGGGGCTGTGGGGGACACACTCCTCCCTTGCTGGGCGACAAGAGGGCATCGGACCCATTAAGGGAAGGGGATGCATGGGGACCAGGCATTCTCTGTCCGCAAGGAGCTTCCTCCAGGAAGGGCTCTGCCTGAGCAAGCAGGGAATAAAGCAGGCTGAGGTGGCAGCTGGGAACAGGGCTTCGTTGTCTCGGCTCCCGGGGTAGCAGCCTGCTCACCCGCTGAAGTGTCAGGCGGAGCTGGGAGCCAGGGAGGCGAGGGGGGGTGTCCAGAGCTGAGGGTTTGGGGCAGCCCAGGCAGATCCAAGAAGGCAGGACCCCAAAGGAGCAGAGAGAGGTCATGGGTTGGGCTGGGGTCCTGAAATGGGGGCCAGGGCAAGACTCCTATGATTTGGAGTCAGCTCAGCTACCTCTGAGCCATGTGACCTTGGACAAGTCATTGAATTTCCCTGAGCCTCAGTATCCCCCTCTGGATAATGGGGATAGGTAGCAATGCCTCCTTCACAGGACAAGGAACAGTGCGTACACAGTGACTGCTCTGGTCCAGGACTGCCCTCCTGTGCCCCCTGTGTGGGCCTGGATGAGCCTCACCCTCTCTGGGCCTCAGGTCACCCCGTCAGTAAAGGAAGAGATTGGGTTTTCCCAACTGGAATGGACAGTCCTCTACACCTCTCTCCCCTCTGGAGGATTCTCATGCACCTGTCACCGCGGCAGCCCGGGGATCAGGTGTCAGGCATGCTGCCTTCTCTCCCTTTCCTTCCCCCTGGTGTGGGTTACAGCAGCCAGACATGCCCATCACCTCTCTGGCTCTGGGCAGCTGGGCGGGGCAGTTCCCACTGGGCAGGGCTCGGTCTGTAGTGTGCTCTGTGCTGGTACCAAAATGCTGGCCTGGCACCGAAGGGGCAGATCAAGCTGGACCCCCTTCCTGGGCACTGGGCTAGGAAACAGGAACTGTAGGATTTCCTATAGGACCCCTCCTGGATGCCAGGGTTTGTCCCACTCTCCCAAACCTCTCCTTGGTGGCTTTGCTTCCTCTGGGGTACAGGCCAGGGCCTTCCCCCAGCAGAGGGGATCCATCCCTTACTATGGTCTCCGGTTCCTGCTCTGATCCCCTTTCTAGGAAGGGCTGATGGAGACAGGGGAGATCTCTGCCCCTCCTCCCCTAGGGCTCTGGCCACTGTGTCCAAGATTAATCATTAACGCACTCCCAGCTCCAGCTCAGCCCCAGCAGCCTGCCTTCTGCCCCACCCATCCCACCTTCAGGGACTGGGAAGCCCTGGAAGGGGGGTTGGGGGACAGGGGAAAAAACCAAGGGCATGGGGGGCACCAACCTGTGCCCTCCCTGGCCCCTACCAGGCCACCCTCTGGCAGTGGGCAGGGGTACCCAGCGCTTAGAACAGCGGTACTGCACTCCTACTCCCCTCCTCCGGCGCGTGGTCCCAGTTTGGGGGTTAGCGTAATGTGGGCGGTATCCCCAGGGAGTAGACTGAGGCAGGGCTCAAGCTGGCAGTGGGTGCTGGAGCCCGGGACGTACCTTGTCCCCGTCCTCCTCCGCCTCAGCGTGGCTGGCTCGGCCCGGGCCGCGCCGCCCGGGCGCTCACTGGGCGGCGGGGCGCACCCGGCCGGGCCCCCCGCTCCACCAGGCCTGGTCCATGCCCCCGCCCCCGCCGCCGCTGCCGCGCCGCGCCCGCTCCCGCGCCGCGCCCGCTCCCGGCCAGGTGCCGCCGCCAGCCTGGCCCAGCCTCCGGCGCCGGGGCCAATGGACGCCCCGGACCCCAGACCCCTCCCCGCCCCGGGCCGGCCCCCTCCCCGCCCCATCCCGGCCCCTCTGCGCCCGCCCGAGACGCACAGAAGCCGCATTCAGCGCGCTGGGGCGCAACGCTGCGCCCCCGCCGCCGGCCCAACAAGGCCCGTTTGTCTCGGACGCGCCAACGGGGCCATTGTCCCGCCCCGGTCCTCTGGCTCAACGGAGCCCCCAGCCCAGAAGACTTGAGGATGCCCAGGCTTGGTGGTGGTGGGGAGGGGAGCCAGGGCTCTGGGAAAAAGGCGGCGGACGGACTATTGCTTAACTTTGGTTGGGGGGTCCTGGGGCCCTTAGGATCCAATGGATCATACGGCTTCTTGCTCTAGTCAGTGCCAACTGGGGACGACACATTTTTGGCACTCATGGGAGTGGAGGGAGCTCAAGCAAGAGACTGAGCTCCAACTGGTCCTGTCACCTGGAGGTCTCAGCTGTCACTCTCTAGGGTGCCAATGAGGGCTGAGCAAGGCCACCAGGAGGCAGGTGTCCCATCCAGGCCCTGTCTCATTTTCCAGGCCTGGCCTTTCCTTCTTCACCCCAGAGGAGCAAGACCATGGATGAGGACCAATGCCTGCCAGGGGCCAGGAATCCTCAGCGCCAGCTGTGGGCAGTAAGGAACCAGCTGGCCACCCAGTGGGGCCTGGGATGCGTCAGAGCCCCACTGCCCCCGCCATTACTGGGCGATTCTGGAATGGGGAAAATTCCACATCAGCATGGCTGCCAGGAATTTTTCCGTATCTGATGGGCCTGCGCTCTAGCCGTGTGGCCCTGGATGCACAGTTCCCCAGACAGGCCTGAGTTGTCTCCCGGGGCTGCAGGCTCTGGCTCCAGAGGTCCTGACCCTCTGTCCCAGCCTCTGGAGGCAACCTCACTCCCTCCCATCGCCGTGTGCATGACAGAGTGGGAATGGCACACAGCCCTCTCCTTCCACCCACAGCCAGTCCCAGCTGAGAGGGGGAGCCCTAGGTTTTCTGCTCCCCAGGCCAGAGCCTGCCCAAGCTCTTGCCTTCCCCCTGCACAGGTTGGACCTACATCCACTGCCACAAAAACATTCTCTGCCCACACAGCCAGCAAACAGTGAGAGGCAGAGGGCAAGGCCCTCAGGTGCCTAGATTCAGGGAAAGTAGAGCCATTCCAAACCCACACTTCCTCAGCGTGGCCCCAACCCTCGACAGCACTCACCCCGGGAAGTGAGTCCTGGGAGGGGCTGAGTGAGCACTGGGAGACCCAGGTTGTGGTCCTGGCTCCATCATGATGCACTGGCGGTTCCAGGCAAAGGCATATCCCAATGGGCGTCAGCAGGGACACTGCCAAGGTCAGCGGGGAAGCTGTCAGGCAGGCCTCACAGACCGTAAGTGCAGCTGCTGCGGAATCCTACGCTGGGAGGTACTCAGCGGTTCTGCCAACGCGCCAAGGCAAGCTGAGGGCAGGACCTCACCGCAGACCCACAGATCCTTCCGGTTCTGGCTTTTACCTTCTGGGCCGAGTCCAGCAGGAAGTGATATAAATCAGTTGGTGTTTACCAAGTACTTACCACACACCTGATATTACCAAGTCCATAAGGTCTGAGACTATAAAGTTATCACAGAACCCTCAACACATCCCTTTCAAAGAACAGAATCTCTACCAGTAACTGACACATGAGGAAGCAGGTGCAGAGGGAAAATGCCTGGGTTAGAATGTGAACCATGGTCAGACAGGCTGTGAAGCCCAGGTCCAGAACCTCTGCACCTACCTTTTGGCATCCCTGGACCTGGAGGGGTCCTTGGACATCCAGAGAGCTCTGAGCAGTGCCCAGCTCTGTCTCAGTAAATACCCAGGGCTGGCCCAGCCTGCAGCATAGAGTGCTAGGTAGGCCTCCTCCAACCCTAGGAAGGCTCATGGACACAAAATGCAATTGGCACAAAAGTCCAGTCATTTAATAACAAATGCTCCCCCTACCCTCACCCCATCACAGCACCCTGAGAATCACGGGTCCAACTGTGTGGGAGGGGGCTGTGGAAAGCCAGGATGAATGGGGGCAGTAGGTAGGGGGCTGGGTGGGCCTCTGCACCTCATGTCACTGGCTCCTGGGAGCAGAGAATCAGGCTGGGCACAGAGGCCTCTTCTCTGACCAGGCACCAGCAGGGCAGCTCCATCCAAGGGAAGCGAGGGCTGCCCACTGGCCCAGCCAGAGAGCATGAGGGGTCAGGGCTGGCTGGAGAAAGGAGGAGGAGAAGTGACTCTGGTCCATCACACTTAGGTCCTCTGGCCTGCCTCTGCCACATCCAGCTGCTAGGGGCTGGCCTCAGCCCTGTGAGGGGCCGCAGGCACTCACTCCGGCCTTGCCTTCTTGGCCTTCTTCTCAGACCTCACCGCCTCATCGTGGGCTTTCCGCTTCTCCGCCAGCTTGTTGGCCTGTGAGGGGGAAGGCGAAGGTCAGGCTGAGGTATGTGTAGAAGGGAGGGTGGGGGGCACAGAACTCAAAGCTATATCCCTTAAAAGCAGAGCTTCAAGAAAAGGTCACAAATTCTCACAGGAAAAAAATCTACCTGACCCACTTCATGGTGAGAAAACATGCGCTAGCCCTGCTTTAACAACATTATTTCATGGGCCCACAAATCTCGAGATAAGAGAATCCTAAACTCCCAGAGCTGGAAGGAGCCTTGGCAACTGCCCCATTTCCCTACACCACCTGGGAAAGCTGGATGCCACTAGAACCTTCACCAGGAGCTGGTGGAAAGGGGTACAACAGGAAGAACCTTCTTTCCGGGGTCATCTGACAATATATTTTTAATTTTTTTAAAGGGACAGGGTCTTTCTCTGTTGCTCAGCCTGGAGCACAGTGGCACAATCATAGCTCACTGCAGCCTCAAACGATCCTCCCACTTCAGCCTCCGGAGTAGCTGGGATTGACTACAGGTGTGCACCACCATGCGTAGCCCTTTCTTTTTTTTTTTGGGGGGTAGAGACAGGGTCTCAATATGTTGCCAACGCTGGTCTTGAACTCCTAGCCTCAAGTGATCCTCCTGTCTTGGTATCCCAAAGTGCTGGGATTACAGGCGTGAGCCACCATGCCCAGACCCATTTGACAATAACTATTTCAAAACTGCAGCAATTATGCTTCTAAGAATTTAGCCTGCAGAATCATTAAGAGGCGGGCAGGAACATGCTCAGGGATGTTTTCTGAGAATGACTGAAACTGGAGAACAATCTAATCCCATCACAGGGGACAGGCCAGGTTTTGGATGAGAAGTCCATATTATGGTTAAATGAAAATTACAACTCAGGCTGGGTACAGTGGCTCATGCCTCTAACCCCAACACTTTAGGAGGCCAAGGCAGGCAGATCACTTGAGGTCAGGAGTCCAAGACCAGCCTGGCCAAGACAGTAAAACCCCGTCTCTACTAAAAATACAGAAATTAGCCAGGTGTGGTGGCACACGCCCTAATCCCAGCTACTCGGGAGGCTGAGGCAGGAGGATTGCTTGAACCTGTGAGACACAGTTTGCAGTGAGCAGAGATTGCTCCACTGCACTCTAGCCTGGGTGACAGAGGAAGACTCTGTCTCAAAAAACAAATTATATCTCAAAACAACCTATAGCATGACCTCCCAAACACGGGTCATTATGGGCACAAGAGAAACCTGGGGGCTGTTACTACAGGCTGCTCTATTCCAAGGGCAGGGCTGTGAGCCACTTCTGCATCACTCATCACAGGGTTCCAGGGTGCATGAGTTTGTATTTTTAATTAGCATATATGGCTTCATGAACAAGAAAATACAAAACAGATAGAAGTTTAACAAAGCTCCCCCCCGCCACCCCCGCCCCCAGTCCTTGAGTCTGCCGGGAAGGCTCTGTTTGCAGACCCCAGCAGACTCAGGAAGCCGGATGCGGGGTGGGACGGAAGCCGTAAGGAAAGCCCAGGCCGGAGATGGCAGTACCAAGACGCCTACACTGGCCCAGGTCGGGGGCCCCAAAGGCTGGGCTGGGCCAGGCAGGCAACCTCAGGAAAAGGCTAGGAGAGCCTCAGTCTGCCTAGAGGAGGGCCCCAAGCCACATAAGTTCACCTGTGCAGTTGGGTCTGGTGGCCACACCTGGATCTCAAGTGGGTGGCAAGAACTCACCTCTCGGATTTTTCGCCTCTTGCCAAACATGATCTTCTGGTACAGGTACTTCTCCCGCTTCTTCATCATCATAATGGCCAGGCGCTTGGCCTCACTCTCCTCCTCCTGGGCCAGCCGCTGCTTATCCTCCAGCTTCAAGGTGCCTGCCATCACCCTGGGCTTCTGGGGACACAAGGAGGGTGCTTATGGGGGCAGGTTCTCCCGACCTCCACAGTCCTCTGGCTCCTGACCTTCTAGGCCAGAGCAGGCACCAAGCAGGGCTGCTTCCCAGGCCAAGCCCCGCATTGCAGCTCCCCCTACCTTCCCCTCCATCCTCTGCTCTTCCAGGGCTGCCAGCCGGGCCTCTTCCTCCTTTTCTGAACCAGCCTCTGCATCTTCCTCCTCCTCCTCATTTTCTCCCTCTTCATCACCATCACCTTCGTTGTTGTCGTCCTCTTCCTCCTCCTCTTCTGACTCATTCAGGTTTCCTAGAGAAAGCCAATGTCCTCTGAATGCCCTGGGAATCTACTGTCTCTCTGGCAGGGTGACAACAGGCCCAGGCCCCATCCTCTCTGACCCTGCCGTCTTTAGCCATGGGCAGTTCAGGGATGTCCCAATTGTGGCCCTCTCTTGCACCTCCCCACAGCCCAGCTGCCATCAGAGGAAATTCCAAGACCCCCAGTCCTGAGCTCTGTCGCCTCCAATGTAAACTCTGATGACAATGCAGCATGTTCTTCTGCTCAGTCATCCTGAACGTCAAATAACACCTGACCCCAGGAGGTAGATGTCCCTTCTCCTAAGCCTTATTCTACAGGTGACTTCAAAGGGCTTTCTGCTCCTACTGCCTGTTCCCTGGAGCTTTCCACCTTGGCAGCTAAGGGAAACAGCCAGCGTGGGCCCAGGGGTCAAGGCCAGCCCAGTCCCATCCCGCTCACCTGGGTCCTCTCCCCGCTGCAGAGCCAGCAGCTTCAGCTTCTCAGGTGGAACGTAATCTCCTTCCTTCTCGGTCACAAAGGGTGAAAGGTGTGGGGGCAGCTGCACCCCAGAGAAGTACTCTGCCACGGGGAGAAGGAGCCTGGCGTTCACTGAGTCAAACACCCACTGGGGCTGCACGTAGCACCTGGCGCAGAGTGGCAGGCAAAAACGAGTCACAGAGGGCAACTCAGGGTCCTGCTGCATCGCAGGGCCTTTGAGACAGGATACCCAGAAATCCGGACGAGGACCCTTGAGGGCCTACCTGCCAATGACTGAGGTCTGCTGCCCAGGCCGGTCGACAATCTGATGGGTGATGCGGGAGTCTGTGACGTCATAGGTGGCCCCAATGCACAAAGATTTGTCCCAGGACACTTCCCCACCAAAACTCCTACAGGGACAGGGAGAGCCCACACGGGTACACAGACATGAGCTGCCTGTCCTGAGACTCAGCTCCCTGGGACCTGCTGGCCACCCAGCCCATAAACTCACCCTCTTAGGACACAATTACCCCCTCCTCACCCCAGGATCCTTCAATCCTGGCTCAGCAGAGATCTGCCCACTGCCCATCCTTCTGTGCTAAGCTAGTAATAAAATGACGGCAGTTCCGCCCTCTGCTGAGCACTTCCTATGTGCTCAGTGCGGTGCCGAGCACTTTCCACACACTGTTTCATAAGAAGTGGAAACTGACACCATCCCAATGTTACCGATGGGCACCAGGGCAGGACCCAGACCAGAGCATGGCCGAACCAATGCTGTCAGCGGGCCCTTGAGCCTCCCTACCTGATGATGAAGGCCAGGGCCTCACGGGGCACCTCTCGGTTCAGGAAGAACTTCAGGCCCTCAAAAAGCTTCTTGTGCTTCTCCTGCGCCTCCAGCTCCTTCCTGCGGTCTTCCTCCTGCGCTGACATCTCCTGTTGAGAAAGGGGCCAGGCCTCGCACCACCAGGGCTGCCCACCCCCACTGGAGGGCCAGGGCTGGAGATAACGTCCACTCCAGCTTCCTTCTAGATCCTGGATCCTGCCTTCAAAGGAAACTCCAAGGCCCCACTCCTGAGCTCTGTTGCCTCCTATGTAAACTCTGATGACAATTCAGCCCATTCTTCTGCTCAGTTGCTTTGACCATCAAATAACACCTAATTATAGGATGCAAATGTCCCTAAGCTGGGAAACCCCCCACACGACCCCTCCCAGCCCTCCTGCCAGAAGGCAGTGCAGTGCTCACCCCATCGGTGGGAAACTCATCCACCTCGGCCTCCTCCTCTGTGGCAGGCACCACCACGCGGGCCAGGCTGGCACTGAGGGCTGCCAGTTTCTACAGGAGAGAAGGGGGCTGCTTGCAGTGGGGGACCTCATGCGGGCATGTGGCCAGGGTGGGGAGGGGCAGCAGTGACAGTCCTGGGCATCAGCAGGTGTGGGTTCCAAGGGCAGGCTGAGACCACCCACCTAGCCATAACCACCCCCACTCTGAACCAGACCCCCAGAGGTGTTGGGGACAGAGACCACTCCCTTGGGAGATGCCGGATGATGCTCCTGGAGCCTCTCACCTCCATACAACTCTCGGAGTCCAACGCGTAGGTGCCCTCACCGGCCTTTGCCTCTGCTTGGGCCTGACCCTCGAGCTAGTAGGCAAAGGGAAGGTCAGGAGGCAGAGGACAGCCACAGCCCCTCGCCTCTGTGTGGACAGAGAAGGGCTGTGGCCCCTGCACGGCGAGCAGAAGGCACTGGGCTGGGGTCCTACCTTCGGGGGATAGTGGAGGTTGAGCAACTGGTAAAGGCGGAAGTTGACAAAGCCCAGCAGCGTGGTGTAGAACTCGGTGAAGGTGGCCATGACCCTGTAGTCCACGTCTGTCGGGTGCTGGGGAACACAAGAGATGCATGAGCAGTGTGGGTGCAGGGATGGGGGCAAAGGAGGGACAGACAACCCACAGAGTGGAGGGTGTCTGACCTACCCAAAGACCCCAAGCTCCTCAAGAAGGCTCTGCCCTTAAGGCGCTGCCCTAGGGAAGGGGTGGCATGGATCTTCCCACCAGGGGCGTTCCGGCCACAAGTGTTCCCAGCCACAAGTGAGGCTCTGGATAGGGGTCCCAAGGGTTAGACGCATCCTGGAAGTCAGTGCCAGACCCCCATAAAAGAGTGAGAAAAGGGACCCTGGTCCCTGCTGCTCCGAAGACTGGCTGGCCCTCCCCTCCCTGCTCCGGCTCTCCCACTTCCTTCAGGTCTAGCTCAGACTCGGACAGACCACTTTCCGACCTGGCCAGAGCTCCTGCCTTCTACATCACCTAGTCTACAATCTTTGCTGCATGTCTGCTGCTGGGCTAGCGTGTGAGCACCAGAGGGTGGTGCTCCCAGCGCTGTCTCTAGCCCAGAGGGGCTGGCAAAACCTTGGCTGACTAAGGTGCCTTGGGAAGGCCAGGCCCAGCGGGGGCGGGGGAAGCATGGGGCTCAGGCCGCCCACTGAGTCCCACCTCTGAACCTTGGGATGGACACTCAGAATTGAGTGACTCCCTCCTTGGGCCCAAGCCAGGTCCAGAGGCATGACCCGAGGGGCCAGGGTAGGCTGGCAGCTGGCCTGGCTCAGCCCCCAGGGAGCTCTTGGGAAATGGCCAGCAGACAAAACTACTTTTTGCTCAGGGAAAAGGCACAGAGCTGTCATCCCAGCAGCAGGGGACACAGAAGGCTCATCTTTGCCCTGGAGCAGTTAATAGGGCAAAACAGGGCAAAGAACTGAGGCCCAGACAGAATCACAACTCTTGAGCAGTTCTGCCCCCTAAAACCATGGAGGCCGAGCCAGCCCATTTGGCCCCCAGGACGCGGCAGGATGTTCCGAGCAACGTGAAAATCAGTAGTGATCACCATGGGTGCCGGGTGTGCCCATGACTCTTAGCTGTTCCGCTATTCTGCTGCCAGACAGTGACCTGTGCTGTGAGAGCACATAGGGCCAAGAGAAGCCCTGCCTGTTCCCTCACTCACACCGCCATCCTTCCATGAGAATCTGTGAGGGCCCCTGACAGGCACATCTGGGGACCAACCCCATTTCCCACAGCCCAGCACTGAGCAGGGAGACCCCGCCCCTACAACCAGCCTGAGTTCCACAGCTATGAACCCAACCCTGGCTGCTCACAGGAGGGGCACAACTGGGCTCCGCTACGACCTAGTGCCAGTCCTCCCCATCCGCTGAGAGGAAGCAACGGCAGTGAACTGGCCAAGGAGGAAAGGGGAATGCGTGGCTGGCTCCCTTCCCCCAGGGCCAGCTGTGTGGAGGCCGGCCCACCACAGGGCCCTATTCACCACCAGGGAGGACACACAAAGACCAGTCTGAGCAGCATGGGGGCAGGACATCAGAGAGAAGGAAGGACCAAGAGGAAGGCAGGAAGGAAGGAGGAGGAGAGGAGGGCTGGGGAAGGGAAGAAGGAAGGGCCACCCACACGTGCCCCAGGGGGAGAGGGAACAGGGACTGCTGAGGGCCAAGCCCGCCTCTCACTCGCAAACAGGCCACAGCCTCACCACCAGACAGCCAGTCAGGGTAGGTTCCAGTCCTTGCAACCCCACCCACAAGGGATCATAAGTAACAGCCCAGGGCACCTAGAGTCCCAGCTCCCCCTGGAGCCCCTGATAATCTGGGCAGCAGAGCCACTGTGCTAACTGGACCGGCAGCGGCTGCTCTCCGCTGAAGGCACCAGTTCCCACTCAATGATCAAGCAAGGTGGGCTAAATGCAGGCCACCAGCACAGGGAGGCAGGAGAGCCTGGCCCACCTGCGGGGCACTAGAAGCTCCATGAGAGGGCAAAACCAGGGTTTCTCTCAGTGGATCCCTGCCAACAATTCCCAGGATTTCAAAGAGATAAAGAAAAAGGCTGGGCTCTGTGGCTCACGCCTATAATCCTAGCACTTTGGGAGGCTGAGATTGGAGGACTGCTTGAGCTCAGGAGTTCCAGACCAGTCTGGGTAATATAGTGAGACCCTATCTCTATTTTAAAAGAAAAAGAAAACAATATATGTAGGAAACAGTGCCACATGCTAAGTGCTTCTCCTGTGCTCACCGTTCCCCTTCTCTCCCAGTCCCCGAGTCCTGTGGGGCAGAGAGGCAGGAAGGGGGAAGCAGAGAAGGGAGGCAAGGCCACTTGGCCAAGGTCTGGCAGCTATCGGCAGCAAAGCAGGGACGAGGAGCCCAGTAGGTTCGAGGGCAGGGCTCTGCCACTGTCCCCGTGGTGGCACCACATGGTGCTGGGCATGCAGGCTGGGTATGGCCCTGATAGCTGTTCTCACTGTTTATTCGGCCCTAAAAGGCCAAGCACCAGGCACTGTTAAGGGTGTAGACACTGTTAACTGAGGCACAGAGAGGTGAAAGGAACACGTCCAAGGGCACGCAGCTGGCAGGTGCTGCCATAGGGCTAGCTTAGGCTCCCGCTCTTAATGAGGATGCTGTGTGGCACATTCTGCCGCGCCTCACCCCTCATCAACAGTTGGGAACCCAGCACTTGCTAAACTCCATGGACAGCAAAATCCCCCTTCCTCCACATCCATATCTGTCTAGGAGGCAGCACAAGCCCGTCCCCTCCCGACAGGCACACTCACGTCATGGGAGAAGGCATAGGGAGTGATCCACACGATGGGCTGCCCCAGTACCTCGGCCTGGTAGTAAATGCCTTTGATGGACAGGAAGACCTAGGGGAGAGGAGGAGACATCTGGGTGAAGACCATGGGGTGGCAGGAGAGGGGGCAGGGTGGGATGCCAGCCGGGCAGTCCCAGGCTCACCTTGCGCAGGGCACGGGCAGCGATAATGTAGTGCATGAACTCCACAGTGAGCCGGCGGCACAGCTGAATGGTCTGCACGTGGCACTTGCCAGTCCGCGGGAAGGTGGAAAACAGGAAGCACATGGAGAGGGCATCGTCCAGGTCCCGCAGGGCATCGATGAACGTGGGATACCTGCATGGCCAGTGAGGCAGCACATGGGGCCTGTTCAGCGTGGGTGCCAAGGGGGACCCTGATCTCCTTATCCCACCCCAGATGCCCCGTTCCTCAAGCCAGGCCTCACCACTGCCACCTCCTGACCTGGCAGGAGCAGCTTCCCCACAGCTGACCACAGCCCCTAGGAGGAACCACTTAACCAGGATGCGCCCACTAGGCTCTGAGGACCAGAGAAGTCCCGATGGGGGTCCTCAAGACACCGAATGCTCACCAAAGACCCAGCCTTGACCCACGTGCGGATTTTGTGGTGCACGACGGTAGACGGAGTCAGGGGCTCTATGACTCTCTTTGAAGGTGGAAACTTTAGTGCACAGACACTCTACAGGGAGGTCCAAAATGGAAAATGGGAAACCGAAGCTGCCCTGGTGGAGCAGGGAGCGGGGTGGGGGCTGCTTCCCCTCAGCAGCACTTATGACTGGGCCTGGCCACCGGTCGCCAGCGTAGGTTATGTCTTCCATGCCTCTCATCCCTTGGACATGTCTAGTTGGCAGAACCAATGAGACCCAGGGAATTGGGTCCAGGAAGAGCCAGAGCAGAATGTGTTTCGGGGAATCCTCTGGTAAATGACGAAGCCAACAAGGATGAGCCACCCTGGGCACTGTGTGGCTGCCCTGTTGAGGGACAGAGGCATGGGTCACAGAGAAGACACGGAACCACAAGTAACGACACCTGGATTCCAGTCCCGGTCTGAGCTGTGACCCAGACTCTTCATTTACAACTGGGCTCTTGCAGCTCCCTAGAAACACCTTGAGCCCAAGCGGACAGACAGAGCTTCAAGCCTCTCTCCCGCAGCCACAGCAGCTGCCAGAGACGCTGGCATCCAAACTGCCTTCCAGGAAGCTACCTTTTCAAAAATCATTTTTGTTACTTTTTCTATTTTCTTTTTTCCAAATGCCCAGTCTTCAAGGAGAAGAAGCTTCCTTTTGAAGAATGGGTTCTGGTCAGGGGTTGGGGGGAGTGGGGGCAGGGGTTAAAAAAAAAAAAAAGAATGGGTTCTGCTATTTCAAAAAAGACTCCAAAATCCATGAGACCAGACATTGCCAAGGTCCTTCCAGCCCCAGATAGCATCACTCACTGCTGCGAGTCAGAAGTCTGCCAGGTCTTCAAACCCATGCCAAGATGCAAGAAAGGCCTGCAGAGACCTCTGATGAGGCAGCAGAACAGCTGTCTGGTTTCTTGGTGCAGAGGTGGCGGCCTCAACTGGCCCCCTCTGGTGCCTTGTAGTTTCCTCACTCTCCACCTCACAGACAAAACCAAGAACCCAGGCTTTCTGTAGAAACAGCACCAGCATTTCTGGGCCAACTGCTTTTCTTTCTTAAGCTCTGGCTCTAGCTAAGGAGCTGGGGATGGTGTAGTATGAGATCACCACAACCACATCACCACACTTGGTGTGTGTATGAATCCAGGCACTTGCTTTTCGTGTGTGGCTTTTTTTCATTTATTTCACCTAACACTGTGTGCCACAGGCAGGACAGGAACTACCATCATCTCTTCTGAAGATGGGGACCTGCTCGGGCTAGGAAATACCCTCTGGCCACCCAGCTCATGTGCCACACAGCTGGGATGCGAACACCAGCTGTCTAGCTCCTAGGCCAGGGCACTTCCTGTGACAGCCCACAGCCAGGTTGGATGAAGCCAACCCGAGCCATCCTAGAGCTCAGTGTTCCTGGGCCATCAGCCTCCAAAGATGACAGACATTTACCAGTCCAGGGGTTCTGAACTTTACCACTACTGACATTCCGGGTCAGACTATTCTATGTTGTGGGGGACTACTATAGCGTATTTAGCAGCATCACTGGCCTCTCTCCACTCAACACCAATAGCACGTCCATCCAAGTCGTGAGAACCAAAAAGAGTCTCCAGACATTGCCAAATGTCCACTGGAAAAGCAAGATCACCCCTGATTAAGAATTGCTGATTTAGGCTGAGTGCGGTGACTCACACCTGTAATCCCAGCACTTTGAGAGGCCGAGGTGGGTAGATCACGTGAGGTCAGCCTGGCCAACATGGGGAAACCCAGTCTCTACTAAAAGTACAAAAATTAGCCAGGCGTGGTGGTGGTGTCTGTAATCCCAACTACTCAGGAGGCTGAGGCAGGAGAATTGTTTGAACCTGGGAGGTGGAGGTTGCAGTGAACTGAGTCTGAGAAGGCTGGGCAAGGAACAGTTCAGACGAGAGGTGTCTAGCCATGCTTCCCACGTCTCACCAGGTACCCGTCGTGCCTTCATGGAGCCCTGGGGCTCTCCCACCATGGGGCCTTTGCACTTGCCATGGCCTCTGCTTGGATTGTGCTTCCGCGGGCTGGCTCAAACGTCTCCCTTCAGAGACCCCTCTGACAAGCCTGTAACTACAAACCTCGTAATCATTATAGTAATTTGCTAGCTTGGTTTTTGGTCTGTGTCCTTGAAAAAGTTGCAAGCTCTTTGAGCAGGGTCTTGGTCTTATTCCCTATTGTATCCCTGGTGCTAGGGCAGAGACCAGCAGTAAATGAAGAAACAGCAGTGTCCTGAGGAAAGCCCGGCTCACCGTTCCTTGATGATGTGGTCGAGTTTGTAGTTGGGCTTATTGTCCTTTAAACGCTCTACAGTGTTCCACTCGCTCTTCCCATAAGCCTTCCGGAGCTTCCGGACGAACACCTGGAAGAAAGAAAGAAAACACCTCAATGCTGAGGCTCAGGTCTCCTGGACAACTTCTTCCATGGAAGATGGAAACGCAGGGCAGAAGGACTCTCATGCCTCCTGAAGCTGGCCACGGCTATGTGCCTGTGTCACTGACCCCTCTGCCCAGGATGAGCAAAAGAGCCAACTCCAAGGAGCACCAAGCCTGGTGTGTTAACCAGCAGAGCTAGACCAGGCACCCTTTTTGACAATGCACAGATGTCCCAACTCCACACGTTTACATGGGAGGATGGCACAGCAAAGCAGCTCCGTTTTTCAACTGAGAACAGAAGCCAAGTGACCTGACACTGACAGGATGAGAAAGGCTGGCCTCCATTGCCAACACCAGACTATATCAGCATGAAACAAGCTGTGGGTCTGTGTGTGACACTGAGACACCCAGAAAAATGCAACGGAGTCCTGTTTTGGGGCCAGGTCCTCCAAACTAACCGACCTCTTCCCTCCAAGTACTTCTGTTGAGGCTCACCCTGCCCTCTGTATAGGCTTACTCAGAGAGGGTAGGCAATCTGCCCAAGGTCACAGTTAGTTAGTGGGTCACAGAGCTGCGATGAGAACCTGACAGACCCTAGAGCCCAGACCTCACCTTGTATTCACGGAACTTGTTGACAATGGGTTCGTGGAGGAGAAACCTGATGTCTTTGATAAGGTAAAACGTTCGGGCTGCTGTAGAACCCTTGTTAACCTTCTTCTTGTGTTTGGGTTCATGGGGATAAATGCCCTTCAGAATGCACAGCCGCCTGGAAGACAGAGGCCATCTGTTATGTCAGTTATGTGGGTAAAGGTGGGGAGCACTGGCCACAGCTGGGCCTGGAAAACAACAGTAAATGGGGAACATGGGGTCCCTGCCCTTAGAGACCTCACATCCTAGTACATGAGTCTGACAGTCACAATCATAAAACAAAAACGCAGACTTGCGAGTCTCTAGGGGAGTTAAGAAAGGCCTTTCTGAGATATCAACATTTCAGCCATAAAAAGGAGAGAAGCATCCTAACAAAAGAGACAAAGTCCAGAAGGCTGGAAACAGCTGGTGTGTTTGAAGGAATAAAAGTGGACCAGGTGGCTAGGCGTGATGGCTCACATCTGTAATCCCAGCACTTTGGAAGGCTGAGGCAGGAGGATCACCTGAGGTCATGAACTGGAGACCAGCCTGGCCAACATGGTGAAATCCCATCTCTACTAAAAAAAAAATACAAACATTAGCCAGGCACGGTCGCCAGCAACTGTAATCCTAGCTACTCGGGAGGCTGAGGCAGGAGAATCGCTTGAACCTGGGAGGTGGAGGTTGCAGTGAGCTGAGATCACGCCAATGCACTCCAGCCTGGCCAACAGAGTGAGACTCTGTCTCCGGGGAAAAAAAAAAAAAAAGTGGGCCAGGTGAGCCACAAAGGCCAGGGACCGCCAGAGGGCAGGGCCCACAGGCCACAGTGAAGTCTTATTTTGACTCTATGAGGAATGAGAACCCCTAGTTGCAGGATCAGGGGTCTCTTCTACCAGATAGGAGGGGATGGATGGCAGGGACCCAGCCCAGCCCATCCCAGCCCAGCTAGCCCATCCTGACAATCCAGTTCAGTTCTCCTCCATTTTCCCTTGGACCACACCTAGCAAACACAACTCACTAAAGCAAGGGCGGTGAGAAAGAGAAGGAATACCAGAACCCCAGAATGGGTATGGCAACTCAGGTAAGACAGGGATGCAGCTGAGTTTTCAATGTGCAATTCACTGCCCGGGCTTCCCACGGTCCCTCTATATTCACCTAAAGTCAGCCAAGCTCAGCTGGAGCTTCTTCCGGGCTTTGTTCCGGGTGATGTAGTTGGTGGCCGAGCCTCGTTCATACTGGGAGAGGAAAAAAACAATTCTCCATTAGCAATGATTGTAGTGACTGACATCAAACTCTGGGCATGCCTAGTTCCAGAGGCAACTATCACTCTGGATAAGTGGCTGAGATGAGTCTAGGAGAGGAAACACTGCAGGGAAGGAGCCGACCTGCCTGGATGAGCTCTCCTGTACCATCCTTGCGGCTGTCAGCATAGGGAACACATACATCTGCATGATGCTGAGGGCTGCGAGGCTGCTACGGATAGGGTGCTGTGCCAAGTGCTTAGCACTAGCTCTAAATGTTGGCCATTACAATTAGTGATTTTCACACATTTCATTTAATTCCCATAACCCTGTGATGTAGGTGCTGTCCGAACGTCCATTTCACATAGGAGAAAACGGGCTCGTAAAATAACCCATGCAACTCTTAAAAAGCACACAGCTTTTTAAGAGTTGGGGCTGGGATTCAAACTCAGGTCTGAGTCCAGTACCTGAATGCCTAATAGCTAAGCCAGTGTTCCTAATCTTTTCCCCTTCTTTTCTTCCTCATTATAACCTCTTCACCACTACCAGGAGACTTATTAGACACCCCCTTCCTCCCTCACCCATCACCCTTTCTTCCCTATGCCCCATAAAATGTTAATACCAGAGATATACTGTAGGTCTGTTTATGTAATGTAGTCCTTGGGGAGCCACAACCATTGTAATAGCTAAGATACTGCCCCTCAACCAATTTTGTTCCCTTGAGGGTGGTATTACCCTGGCTGAAAAAGCATGCTCTAAGCCACACAGCTTCTCCCCTTCCTCATTCATTCATTCAACAGACAATAACAGGTCCTCTATTATGGTCAAAGCACTAAGCTAGATGCTATGAAGGCAATAAAGACAAAAAGCCTGGTCTCTACCTGCCCCTAAGAAGCCTATTGTCTTGTATAACCATCTGGATGCCTGTGGTGCTAAGATGCTGCCTCACACCCACATTTCTGTATCCCTCACACTTCTGTATCCCTCGATAGAGACAATCAGTGCACTGTAACAAATACCCTGCAAGCTAACAAGCATGTCGTTTCCAAACAAGATCTTCCTCTGGACTAAGACAGCAGGGGCCTCTTTGGCTAGGTTCAGCTCTAAAGAGACAAACCTGTTAGTCTCCCACAGGTACGTTTACTAATAACATCATAGTCATGAAACATACCCTTCATTCATTCTTTCCTTTAGACATTAATTGTCTATTAGGTATTAGGCCCATGCTAAGTCTTGGAGGTATAAAGATGAGTTTCAGACTGCCTTAAGAAGTTGAGTTTTCATTTATAGCGTTTTCCATTACCTTATGCCACACTTATCTCTGTCACCATGCTTATCCTTATAAATGTTAAGGGAATAAATAGTTCTCAATGGGGTACTCCCTGGGTATGTGCTGGGGGGAGGAGAGTTCAGCAATGTTTGGAGACATTTTTGGTTGCTGGGTGCTACTGGTATCCAGTAGGTAAAGGATCAGGGATGTTGCCAAATATCCTACTACACACAAGACAATCCTTCCCACAACAAAGACTCATCTTTGTTGATTCTGGCTCTGAAACCCAGCTTTTAAAAACTGTAACGATTTTGTTACATATCTACATCTGCAACTCAAGGGCAGGTTTTCCATCTTGTATCTTTGCAGTTCCGATGGCTAGCACTGGATACTCAATGTAGTGTGTTGGGTTAAGAACACTGGCAATAGAAACTTTCACTCTGAAAGAAACACTTAAGCCAACTATATATTCCTCATTCCCATTCCCTTCCCAGTCTTTTCATGTCACTGGGCCGATTCTCCATACAGCCACAAGAACTCCCTGAAAAACTCTAATCGTGTTACTCCTCCTTTTTTTCCTACTGCACGTAGAATAAAATCCAAGCTCTACACTATTCCTACTGCACTTAGAATAAAATCCAAGCTTACAGGCCTTGCACGATACAGTACGTGTCCAACCCCAATCTTATCAGATGCCATTCTTTTCTTGGTTTACATGCGAGTCATCCTAATGTCCTTCCAACTCCTTACACACAGCAAGCCTTCCCTGCCTACTGATCTTGGCACTTGGTTTCCCTTGTCAGGCCTGCTCGCTAAGCACTCCCATGCCCCAGAACCCATCCAAGACGTTCTGATCTTTCCCATTTCAGCCGAAATGTTATGCCTCGAAGAGAACTTCCAAGACAACACTAACCAACTAATGTAACGGTGCAGTAACGGTGAGCTCTACGTAATGTTTATCACCCTTTCGGTAAATAGTGGTCCCACGGCTCGGCCTGCTTTTGGAATGAAGCTACGCTTGGTAAGTTCAACTCTCTTTCACAGCCCTCTCCACAGAAAGAACTCTGGAGTTCGTTCTCGGATTTCACTAAACGAATACTGCCATCCTTGTCCATTCTCGGACCCCTTCTCGCAGCTGATTACGGTCACGTCGATCCCGTCTTTCCAGTCTCCACGAGACGGAGCCCGGGAAAAGAGTCGACCCCATGCTCTGCCGCCCCCGCACCCCACCCCTCGGGAATCCCCACCGTCTTTCCCAATCACCTTCTTCTTCTCAAGGCCTCCCATCGCTCCACGTTGAGGAGCCGACTAGGGCCGCGCGTACAGGGAGCTCCACTTCCTCCCGCACGTGCCCTGCCAAGGACCCCGAGGACCCTCCCCACCCCACGCTGTCTGTTTGTGCGGGCTGCCCAATGAGATGCCTGTACAAGTCCAGGGAAAGATGGGGATTTCCTCCTCAAGATTTAAAACTATAGTCTGAAAAAAATCACTGAGAACACTCTTTCCAGATCTTTCCCGCTCACAATGGTTACAAACACTTTAAGTGTTAAAACAAACGTGGATATACAGGCTTTTCTGTAATCACCCTGATGACGATTCATTGACTGTGAGCCTCGTTGCATGTTGGGACGGAGAGGGGCGGAAGGCTTAGGGACAGCGCGGTGCCTTCTGGGATGCAGAGGGGCGCCGCACTCCATGGTGCGCGATAGGATTGCGTTGTCAAGGTAACGGTTGCTAAGCGTCGTCAGACTTCGGCTGCCGCTGCTGAGAAGCGGTTCCCGAGGGGCAGGGTGAGACTGCGCTGAGTTCCCACCGGCTTCGGGTTCTCTTTGGTTCATTCGCGGTTATGCGGCTAAAATAGAAAAAAGGAAGACATTTTTCCTCGCGGAGGTATAGAGATCCTAGAGGCCACTTATATTTTCTGAGCCTTAGTGGTGGACTCGTGGTATATTTAAAATGTACATTCAAGGCTGGGAGCGGTGGCGCACGCCTGTAATCCCAGCACTTTGGGAGGCCAAGACAGGCGGATCATCTGAGGTCAGGAGTTCGAGACCAGTGTGACCAATATAGTGAAACCCCGTCTCTGCTAAAAATACAAAAATTAGCTGGCCATGGTGGCACACGCCTGTAATCCCAGCTACTCGGGAGGCTGACGCAGGAGAATCGCTTGAACCTGGGAGGCAGAGGTTGCAGTGAGCCGAGATCTTGCCACTGCACTCCAGCCTGGGCGACAGAGTGAGACTCCATCTCAAAAATAAATAAATAAATAAAATTAAATGTACATTCAACATATTCGAGCTTTTAATTTGTACACATAAATTCTGTAAGTGTTCCTCAAATAATAATTCCAAGATTTATACAAATAGTCACATCACCTTGAGATGGTGCAGTCTGGAAGTAGATGCAATTTTAAGAGGTTTTTTTTTTTTTAAACGTTTCTCCCTTTTTCCAAATTCCAAATTTCGTTCGAAGATGATCTCAAAAGTTTAAATTTGAGGCTCTTGTGAATGTGACCTGGCCCAAGGACTTGGTCTTAGAACTTACACAGAGACAGACGTTAAGCACTGGTGAATACTTGTTTTGAACTATGTGACTTGCACTATCTAATTTAAAGCTAAAATTTAAAACCCAGCAATTCCACAGTTAAAAATGAGATGAAGCCGGGCACGGTCGCTCACACCTGTAATCCCAGCACTTTGAGAGGCTGAGGCAGGCGGATCACCTGAGATCAGGAGTTTGAGACCAGCCTGGCCAACATGGCGAAAACCCATCTCTACCAAAAATACAAAAATTAGCCGGGTGTGGTGGCAGGCACCTGTAACCCCAGCTAGTTGGGAGGCTGAGGCAGGAGAATTTATTGAACCCAGGAGGTAGATGTTGCAGTGAGCCAAGATTGTGCCACTGCACTCTGCACTCAAGCCTAGACGACAGAGCGAGGCTCCATCTCAAAAAAAAAAAGAAGAAGAAGGAAAGGGATGGACTGGAGAGGGTGGCAGTGGCTGGCTCATGAGGGCAACACAGGAACAGGGCTGGTGTCGTGAGCATGTGGCCTGGGCAGTCATCTCACCCTGTCCCTCACAAATCACCTAGCTCGTCCTGCACAGATAGAACCATGTTTGCAGAAAGTTGAGCCTTGTTTTGCTCACATTAATGTTGAGGGGTCACTGGAAGACACAGGTGGGGATGTTCAGGGAAGCAATTGTAATTTCAGCTCAAAATAGCCGTCATATAGGTACCACATTTCACAAGGGAGGAAACTAAGTCTCAGGAAAGTAAGTGATCGCTGAAGATCACTCAGCTGCTAAGCTGTGCAGAATAGATTCTCACCAAGCAGTCTGGTTTCAGAGTCCTCTGCTAAACTCACATTCCACTACCTAACGTATAGTAGAAAGAATGTTATGTGACTCCAGGATAATGCCAGGTAGATTTTTGTTCCATAAAGGGAAGAGGTTTTTAACCATTAGGGCTGCCCACACACAGAATGCTTTGTGCAATACCAAGCCTCCATCAGCATTACGGTGAAAAGCCCAGTCTCTGCAGGGAGACACACCTGGTTTACCTCTAAGCCTCGGACAAGCCACTTTACCTCAGGGTACCTCTCTTCCTCATTTGTAAGATGGGGTCAACACTAACTGCATAAAGTAGTTGTTGCTTTAAGTATGTTTACATTGTTTCATTTAAAACAAAAATTTGCTGGGCATGGTGACACACGCCTGTAATCCCAGCACTTTGGGAGGCCAAGGTGGGTGGATCACCTGAGGTCAGGAGTTCAAGACCAGCCTGGCAAATATGGTGAAACCCCATCTCTACTAAAAATACAAAAATTGTCTGGGCGTGGTGATGCACACCTGTAATCCCAGCTACCAGCGAGGCCAAGGCAGAAAAATCACCTGAACCTGGGAGGCAGAGGTTGCAATGAGCCAAAATTGTGCCATTGCACTGCAGCCTGTGCAACAGAGAGACTCTGTTTCAGAAAAAAAAAATTAGCTTGGCACGGTGCCTCACACCTGTAATCCTAGCCTTTTGGGAGGCAAAGGTGGGAGGATTGCTTGAGCTCAGGAGTTCTAGACCAGCCTGGGCAACATAGTGATACCTTGTCTCTACTAAACTGTGCCCCGCCTTAAAAAAAAAAAAAAAACACAGCCAGGCATAGGGCCAGGTTCCTGTAGTCCCAGCTACTCAGAAGCTGAGTGGGGAGGATCACTTGAGCCCAGGAGTTTGAAAGCAGCCTGGACAACATAGTGAGACCCTCATCTCTACAAAAGGAAAACTTATTTTTAATTAGCTGGTGTGGTAGTGTGTACCTGTGGTCCCAGCTACTCGTGGTCCCAGCTACTCAGGAGGCTGAGGCAAAAGGATCGCTTGGGCTCAGGAGGTTGAGGCTGCAGTGAGGTGTGTTCACGCCGCTGCACTCTGGCCTGGGTGATAGAGAGACTGGCTCTCTACATAAACAAACGAACAAACAAATAAATAAAAAGTCTCCTGTCCAAATTTATAGATTCTCATGATTTTTCAGTTAACATATCTCATAATGAGAGTGAGATTCTAAAGTCACCCCAGATTTGTTTCCTCCTGTTGCCCTGGACAATGCCTGGCACCAACAAGGACTCTTTAACAAAGTCCCCTTGCTCCTGATCACTCTGGGAAAGGGTCTGGGTAAGTCCTATCAGAATCCAAGATCTCCTGCTTGAGGTTAAAGAACTCGGAGACTGGCTGGGCGCGACAGCTCATGCCTATAATCCCAGCACTTTGGGAGGCCAAGGCGGGTGGATCACGAGGTCAGGAGTTCGAGGCTAGCCTGGCCAATATTGTGAAACCTCGTCTCTACTAAAAATACAAAAATTAGCCGGGCAAGGTGGTGCTTGCCTGTAGTCCCAGCTACTCAGGAGGCTGAGGCAGAAGAATGGCTTGAACCCAGGAGATGGAGGTTGCAGTGAGCCAAGATTGCACCACTGCACTCCAGCCTGGGCGACAAGAGTGAGACAGTGTCTCAAAAAAAAAAAAAAAAAAAAAAAGATCTTGGAGACTTTATTTCTTCCCAGCTGGGTTCCCATCATTGGTGGACCCTGGAGGGAACCTTCCCCTGTCAGCCCTGCATTGGCAGGGGCCTTCCCAGTCCTTCCCAGTGCCTGGTCCCAGTTCCCTGCATCCAGACCCTGCAAGGAATGTCTTTGTCAACCCTGGGTTTAAAGGTGGCCTCCCTGATTCCCTCCATTCAGACCACGGAGGGAACATTTTGTGGACCCTGGGCTTACCGGCAGGGGTGGAGGTGTAATCCGGTCAAACTCAGCTGATTCGTAGATTTTGTGAGGGTGCTTATGCTAAGAGTACTCTCAAAGGGTCACCTGGGTAAGGGAAGTGCAATTATAGGGGGTGCTTAGTACTAACGGGACAGTCTCTAGCCAACCACCTTCAGGAACCCTTTGGCTTACATGTTTAAAAACCACATGGAAAGTTCAAAGACATGCTAGCTTTTTTGGGACGCTAGCTGGCTACATATTATAGCCCGTTTTTGTGCACATTTTTAAACTGGTGGGCAAATTACATCAAGGAAAATTCAGAGCTCAAATGGTCAACCTGCAGTTACAGAGTTAACATGTAGAGTCTTCTACATTCTCTATTTTATTTTTCTACCTGCTTTAAGTCTGTTGACTTTTCTACTGGTGTTGAGATAAAACTCTTTACAGTGTTACTAATTCAAGGCTACCTGGAGATTTTTTCTATATAGTTCAGCCAGGTTCCAGCTAAAATATAAGCATTAAAAATTTAACCCTAAACTCATTGTTTTTTCAAGTGTGTGTGTGTGTGTGCGTGTGTATATGGATATGGGGTCTTGCTATGTTGCCCAGGCTGGTTTCCAACGTCTGGGCTCAAGCAGTCCTCCTGCCTCAGCCTCTGAAAGTGCTGGGATTACAGGCATGAGCCACCATGCCTGGCCCCATTTAAAACTTAAAAAAAAAAAAAAAGATTTTAAAAATCAAACTGCCATGGAAACTACCCAAAATTTTGGTTCACAGCCTCCATTAGATTACCTATTAGGATAAATAAAGTTTAGCCATGTAAACAAGTTCCAGTTTTGTCAAAAATAATTTGGACCCAACCATCTTTTATAAACCGATGACTCTGTAGTACTGAGAGATGATGCGTGCTGGCAGCCCTCACAGCCCTCGCTCGCTCTCAGTGCCTCCTCGGCCTCGGCGCCCATTCTGGCCACGCTTGAGGAGCCCTTCAGCCCCGCTGCTGCACCGTGGGAGCCCTTCTCTGGGCTGGCTGAGGCCGGAGCCGGCTCCCTCAGCCTGCGGGGAGGTGTGGAGGGAGAGGCACGGGCAGGAACCAGGGCTGTGCGCGGCGCTTGCGGGCCAGCTAGAGTTAAGGGTGGGCGTGAGCTTGGCGGGCCCGCACTCGGAGAAGCCAGCCGGCCGGCCCCGCTGGCCACGGGCAGTGAGGGGCTTAGCACCGGGCCAGCCGCTGCGGAGAGTGCGCCAGGTTCCCCAGCAGTGCCGGCCCACCGGCGCTGCGCTCAATTTCTCCCTGGACCTTAGCTGCCTCCCCGTGGGGCAGGGCTCAGGACCTGCAGCCTGCCATGCCTGAGTCTCCTCCCTGCCGCTGTGGGCTCCGGCACAGCCTAAGCCTCCCCAACGAGCGCCGCCCCCTGCTCCCCAGCGCCCGGTCACATCAACTGCCCAAGGGCTGAGGAGTGCGGGAGCATGAGAGCAGGACTGGCAGGCAGCTCCACCTGTCCTGCCAGTATGAGCTCCAGTAGGTGAAGCCAGCTGGGCTCCTGAGTCTAGTGGGGATTTGGAGAACCTTTATGTCTAGCTAAGGGATTGTAAATACACCAATCAGCACTCTATATGTAGCTCAAGGTTCGTAAACACACCAATCAGCACCCTGTGTCTAGCTCAAGTTTTGTAAATGCACCAATCTGCGCTCTGTGTCTAGCTGATCTTGTGGGGACTTGGAGAACATTTATGTCTAGCTAAGGGATAGTGAATACACCAATCGACACTCTATATCTAGCTCAAGGTATGTAAATGCACCAATCAGCACCCTGTGTCTAGCTCAGGGTTTGTAAATACACCAATTAGCACTCTGTATCTAGCTAATCTAGTGGGGTCCTGGAGAACTTTTGTGTCTAGCACAGGGATTGTAAACACACCAATCAGCACCCTGTCAAAACGGACCAATCAGCACTCTGTAAAACAGACCAATCCGTTCTCTGTAAAATGGACCAATCAGCAGTATGTGGGTGGGGCCAGATAAGAGAATAAAAGCAGGCTGCCCGACTCAGCTGTGGTAACTCGCTCGGTTTTTTTTCCACGCAGTTGAAGTTTTGTTTTTTTTTTTTTTGTTTTGAGTCGGAGTCTCACTCTGTCGCCCAGGCTGGAGTGCAGTGGCGGCATCTCGGCTCACTGCAAGCTCCGCTTCCCGGGTTCACGCCATTCTCCTGCCTCAGCCTCCCAAGTAGCTGGGACTACAGGCGCCCGCCACTACGCCCGGCTAGTTTTTTGTATTTTTAGTAGAGACGGGGTTTCACCGTTTTAGCCGGGATGGTCTCGATCGCAGTTGAAGTTTTATTCTTTCACTGTTTGCAATAACTCTTACTGCTGCTCACTTTTTGGGTGTACACTGCGTTTATAAGCTGTAACACTCACTGGGAAGGTCTATGGCTTCACTGCTGCAACCAGCGAGACCACGAACCCACCAAAAGGAAAAAAACTCCGAAAACATCCGAGCATCAGAAGGAACAAACTCCGGACATGCCGTCTTTAAGAACTGTAACACTCACCTTGAAGGTTGGCAGCTTCATTCTTGAAGTCAGTGAGACCAAGAACCCACCAATTCCGGACACAGTACTATGCCAGGATTAGAGCTCTAAGGTAAAACCCGTAAAAAAAAAAATTATTTTTTCACTCTGTTTAGTAGGTTGGAGTGCAGTGGTAACAATCTCCGGTCGCTGCAACCTCTGCTTCCCGGGTTTAGGTGATTCTCGTGCCTCAGGTTCCTGAGTAGCTGGGATTAAAGGTGTTTGCTACCACGCCTGGCTCATTTTTGTATTTTTAGTAGAAGTTGGGTTTTGCCATGCTGGCCAGGCTGGTATTGAACTCCTTACCTTAAGTGACCCCCGCACCTCGGCCTCCCAAAGTGTTAGGGTTACAGGCATGAACCACCACAACCGGCCTAAAGCTGTAAGATTTTTATTTGTGTATATATGTGGTTAGATGTGTTTACATATGTTGTATATTGTGTCTACATGGTACCAAGTTGACTTAAAAATAAATACTCGTAAATTAAGAAAGCCCAAATATATTTTTCAAGTTTATGTGACTTAAGTAAAATTTTTTTTTTTTTTTTTTTTTTTTTTTTTGAGATGGAGTCCTGCTCTGTCATCCAGGCTAGAGTGCAGTGGTGCGATCTTGGCTCACTGCAACCTCCGTTTCCTGGGTTCGAAGCGATTCTCCTATCTCAGCCTCCTGAGTAGCTGGGGTTACAGGCATGTGCCACCATGACCAGCTACTTTTTGTATTTTTAGTTAGAGATGGGATTTTTACTATGTTGGCCAGGCTGGGCTCAAACTCCTGACAAGTGATCCACTTGCCTCAGCATCCCAAAGTGCTGGGATTACAGGCATGAGTCACAGCGTCTGGCCTGACTCAAGTAAATCTTTAATAAATAAACTGGTTTTAAAAGTTATTGGTAAAATAAAAATGTCTTCAAAATTGTTAACATACATTTTTGCCTTGGTTTATTGGTCAAAGTTTTTTTACATGTGTCTCTGCTAGATACTTTAAGGGTGTTGGGGGTTTGGCATAAAGATTGTAAAACTATAAACCCAGCCGAAACCAAAATGACCTTTGTGTGTGATTTTTTGATAAATATGACTAATTTAATATAACTAGTTTAATAGGAAACAGCGAAATCTTCCGAGTTATCAACAAAATAAGTACGTATTTTAAGATTCTTAGGTGAACATCTGATAGTCACAGGCTGTAAAAATAACAAATTTAATGATTACCTTTGTCTAATATCTCAGTTCTCATAACTAGTCTAAGGCAATGGTGAAAAATATAGGCTGGGCGCGGTGGCTCACGCCTGTAATCCCAGCACTTTGGGAGGCTGAGGTGGGCGGATCACCTGAGGTTGGGAGATCAAGACCAGCCTGACCAACATGGAGAAACCCCGTCTCTACTAAAAATACAAAAATTAGCCAGGCATGGTGGTACATGCCTGTAATCACAGCTACTCGGGAGGCTGAGGCGGGGGAATCGCTTGAACCTGGCAGGCAGAGGTTGCGGTGAGCCGAGATTGAGCCATTGCACTCCAGCCTGGGCAATAAGAGAAATTCCATCTCAAAACAAAAAGAAAATGAAAGCAAAAATAAATGAATATATATGATAAATGCTTATAAATACAATTGTCATGTAATTTAAAATATTTATGTTAAATTAAATAACTGCTCATTAAATGCCTGGGTCATTTTCAATTTAAAAAATACGTTACAGGGCCAGGCTAGGTGGCTCACGCCTTTAATCCCAGCACTTTGGGAGGCAGAGACAGGCAGATAGCCTGATCTCAGGAGTTTGAGACCACCCTGGGCAAAATGGTGAAAACCCCATCTCTACTAAAACATAAAAAAATTAGCCAGGTGTGGTGGCACAAGCCTATAGTCCCAGCTACTTGGGAGGATGAGGTGCAAGAATTGCTTGAGCCAGGGAGATGGAGGTTGCAGTGTCAAGTTGAGGTTGTCAGGTTTTTTATCTTCAGCCTCTCGGCTCCTTCAGACTTCAGGGGGTAGGTTTGCATGTAGCTGCTCACTGCAGAACAGTCTTATATAACATAGATAAAGAACTCTTGGCCAGGCGTGGTGGTTCACACCTGTAATCCCAACACTTTGGGAAGCTGAGGTGTGAGCATCGCTTGAACTCGGGAGTTCGAGACCAGCCTGGGCAAAAAAGCGAGGTCCTGTCTCTATTAAATATAAAAATAAGGCCAGGTGTGGTGGCTCATGCCTGTAATCCCAGCACTTTGGGAGGCCGAGGCCGGTGGATCACGAGGTCAGGAGATGGAGACCATCCTGGCTAACACGGTGAAACCCCGTCTCTACTAAAACTACAAAAAATTAGCCAGGAGTGGTGGCGGGCGCCTGTAGTCCCAGCTATTCAGGAGGCTGAGGCAGGAGAATGGCGTGAACCCGGAGGCAGAGCTTGCAGTGAGCCGAGATCGCGTCACTGCACTCCAGCCTGGGTGACAGAGCGCGAGACTCCATCTCAAAAACAAAACAAAAAAAAATTGGGGATGGGCTCCATTAAATGGTTCTGTCTTGACATCTTTTATGCGATAAAAGCTGGAATAGTAGGGGTATGGAAAGCTGGGAGCTGGCTGGATCGATCTCTCTCTCTTAAGGTAATCTCAGGGTTTATCCATGTGGATTACCTTTGTGGATCAGTTTGTAGCTGCCTCAAGGCAGTTGTACTGCTTACATGACAGCTCAGTACTCCAGCTCAAGTGTTCAAGTGAGCAAGGTGGAAGTTGCATTTTCTTTTCTGACCTCGAGTTATATATCATCACTTCTGCATTCTGCTACTGACAAGGATGTCACAAACCTGCCTAGATTCAAAGGGAGGGGAATTAGACTCATCTCTTCATGGATGAATGACAAAATTACAGAAAACCATGTGGAACAGCTGGTATTGTTAGACAGCTTTGAAAACACAATCTGACACATCCTCTTTATCTCTCTTAATGCTTTTTGCCAACGATTATTTGATCTAATTTTTTTTTTTTTAAGATGGAGTCTCAGTCCGTCGCCCAGGCTGGAGTGCAGTGGTGCGATCTCAGCTCACAGCAGCGTTCGCCTCCTGGGTTCCAGCGATTCTCCTGCCTCAGCCCCGAGTAGCTGGGATTGCAGGTGTGAACCACCATGTTTGGCTCATTTTTGTATTTTTAATACAGACAGGGTTTCACTATGTTGGCCAGGCTAGTCTCAAACTCTTGCCCCTCAAGTGATCTGCCTGCCTCAGCCTCCCAAAGTGCTGGGATTACAGGCGTAAGCCACTGCGCCCAGCCTCATTCATGTCTTTTTATGGCTTAATGGCTCACTTAGTTTTATCACTGTTTTTATATATGCAATATTTCATTGTATAGATGTACCGCAATTTGTTTATGCATTCATTGAAGGATACCTTGGCTGCTTCCGGTTTTTAGCAGTTACAAATAAAGTTATGAACTTTTTTTTTTTTTTTCCAGACACAGTCTCGCTCTGTTTCCCAGGCTGGAGTGCAGTGGCCCAATCTCAGCTCACTACAATCTCTGCTTCCCAGGTTCAAGTGATTCTCGTGCCTCAGCCTCCCGAATAGCTGGGATTACAGGTACGTGCCACCACACCCAGCTAATTTTTGTATTTTTAGTAGAGACGGAGTTTCACCATGTTGATCAGGTTGGTCTTGTTCTCCTGACCTTGTGATCCACCCGCCTCGGCCTCCCAAAGTGCTGGGATTACAGGTGTGAACCACCGCACCTGGCCCCTTCTTTTCTTTTCTTTTTTTTCTGATGTGGTTTGGCTCTGTGTCCCCACCCAAATCTCATCTTGAATTGTAATTTCCACTTGAGGGAGACACCTGGTGGGAGGTGACTGGATCATGGAGGTGGTTTCCCCCATGCTGTTCTCATGATAGAGAGGGAGTTCTCACAAGAGCTATGGTTTTAAGTGTGGCACTTTCTCAATCTCTCTACTGCCACCTTGTGAAGAAGGTGCTTGCTTCCCCTTTGCTTTCTGCCACGATTGCAAGTTTTCTGAGGCCTCCCCAGCCATGCACAACTGTGAGTCAATTAAACCTCTTTATAAATTACCGAATTGCAGGTATTTCTTTATAGCAGTGTGAAAACTAATACTTTTTTTTTTTTGACACAAGAGTTCCACCCGCCTTGGCCTCCCAACGTGCTGCGATTACAGGTGTGAACCACCATGTCCGGCCTCTTTTTTCTTTTATTTTCTTTTCCTTTTTTTCTTTTCTTTTGATAAAGATAGGGGCTCACTATGTTGCCCAGGCTTGTCTCAAACTCCTGGCCTCAAGTGATCCTGCCACTTTGGCCTCCCAAAGTGCTGAGGTTACTGCACCCAGACAATTATTTCTTTGATGGACTATGCTTTAGGTGTTGTATCTAAAAAGGCATCACCTCTTCTTGAAGTTTTATAGTTTTGTGTTTCATAGTTAGGTCTATTTCAAGTTAATTTTTTGTGAAAGGTGTATGTTTAGGTTGATTTGTTTTGCATATAGACATCCAATTGTTCCTGCACCATTTGATGAAATGTCTTACTATTACACTAATAGTGTCTTGCTATTTATCTTAACTTGAAAGCAATTTGTGTGTGTGTGTGTGTGAGAAGGAGTCTCGCTCTGTTGTCCAGGCTGGAGTGCAGTGGCGTAATCTTGGCTCACTGCAACCTCTACCTCCTGGGTTCAAGCAATTCTCCAGCCTCAGACTCCCAAGTAGCTGGGACTACAGGAGCCCACCACCAGGCGCAGCTAATTTTTGTATTTTTAGTAGAGACTGGGTTTCGCCACGTTGGTCAGGCTGGTCTCGAACTCCTGACCTCAGGTGATCCACCCACCTCGGCCTCCCAAAGGGCTGGGATTTCAGGCATGAGCCACTGCGCCCAGCCACTTGAAAGTAATTTTAAACTCACAGGCCCCCTAAAAGGTTCTTGGAGACTACCAGTCATCCAGTGACCACAGTTGGGAACCAATGCTCTAGTTGATGGGATTTTTTTATGATTTTATCTTTGCTTTCTCCTCCTCTTCCTCCTTTTCTTTCTTTCTGTTTTTGTTTGTTTTTTGTTTTTTGTTTCTCCGAGATGGGGTCTTGCTCTGTCACCCAGGCTGGAGTGCAGTGGCATGATCTTGGCTCACTGCAACCTCTGGCCCCCAGGTTCAAGCAATTCTCCCGCCTCAACCTCCCAAGTAGCTGGGACCACAGGCACATGCCACCATGCCCGGCTAATTTTTGTATTTTTAGTAGAGACTGGATTTCACCCTGTTGGTCAGGCTGGTCTCGAACTCCTGACCTCAGGTGATCCACCCGCCTCGGCCTCCCAAAGTGCTGGGATTACAGGTGTGAGCCACTGTGCCTGGCCTTAAAATATGATTTTAATATATATACACTTTTAATCACTAAAATAGATATTTCATATAGAACTAGAGTTGTGTATTTGTTATATTCATTCTTCTCATGCCATCTTCATGCATACAATTTTATTTTTCTCTTTTGGGTTAATTTTTAGGCTAGTCCTCGCCAAGTCAGCCTAAAACCACCAGAAACAAACCCAGTTGTTGACTTATTCCAATGAGGGAAACCACCCAGCAGAGGAACTATAGTGATCTGGCTGAACAAAGGGAAAGGTTATTAAAGAATTGAAGGGAAGGGTGGAGTTAGGTGAAGTGTAAAGCAAGCAGTGTTTTGAGGCAAGCAGGCTCCAAGTATCACAGGGCTGTGTATGAAGGGTCCGCTTCAGGTCTGGACGGCAAAGTGGACCTAGAGTCTTGTTTCCTTGGAAACTACAAAGTTAAGAAAAATGTGGAATGCTGAGTCCAGAAACACCTTATCTGAGACTGCTTGTCTGTGTCAAAATGACATAGCTCTTTTAGGCAACAGTGGGATGTTCTGTTCTTACTAATAGGATATCAAACAGCAAATTTCTGATTGCTTGTGCTTTTAGGGGGAAAAATATAAATAATCAGTAAAAAAAGTAGTAGTCACCCAAATAGCTGTAGCATGCATGGCCTTGATAGAAATGTTTCCTGTTGGCCAGGCGCGCTGGCTCATGCCTGTAATCCCAATACTTCGGGAGGCTGAGGCAGGCAGATCACTTGAGGTCAGGAGTCCGAGACCAACCTGGCCAACAGGGTGAAACCCTGTCTCTACTAAAAATACAAAAATTAGCTGGGGGTGGTGGCGCATGCCTGTGATGTCAGCTACTCAAGAGGTTGAGGCAGGAGAATCGCTTGAACCCGGGAGGAGGGTGTAGTGAGCCGAGATCATGCCATTGCACTCCAGCCTGGGCAACGAGTGAGACCCTGTCTCAAAAAAAATAAATAAATAAGAAAAAATAAGAAATGTTTCCTGTTGATGTTGCAGCTGGCTTGCAGCTGGCTTTAGAGGTCCCTGTTATCCCAGTCTAGTGGGAGCACAGGCAGACTTTTACTTTCTCATTCCAAGCTAGTTTTCACCACAAATAGAAATCTTGATCTGGCCAGGTGCAGTGGTTCATGCCTGTAATCCCAGCTCTTTGGGAGGCTGAGACAGGAGGATCGCTTGAGCCCAGGAGTTCAAAAATAAAAAAAATAGAAATCCTGATCTAAATGATGTAATCATTTTTGTTTTTCACATTCCCTGACCACATGACCTGAAATAGCACTACCCCTGACCAGTCACTCTATTTCTTTTTTTAATTTTACTTTATTTTTAGGACAGGGTCTCCTTCTGTCGCCCAGACTGGAGTGCAGTGGTCTGATCTCAGCTCACTGCAACCTCAGCCTCCTGGGCTCAAGTGATCCTCCCACTTGTAGCCTCTAGATTAGCTGAGACTTACAGGCACACACCACCATCCCTGGCATTTTTTGGTTTTGTTTGTTTTTTAGAATCAGGGTCTCACCATCTTGCCTAGACTGGTCTCAAACTTGTGGGCTCAAGCAATCCTCCTGCCTTGGCTTCCCAAAGTGCTGGGATTACAGGCATGAGCCACCAGTATTTCTAATATGTATGGGAAATATGCTGTCTTCCTATTCCTACTCCCCCACCCTCTAGCACTGAGTCCAGGTAGGTAGGCAGGGGGGTGTCTCCCTCCTTTACTTCGACACCCTAACTACCTTGGGGATCAGAAGTGACTCTCTGGAAGGATGCTGCTGCTTCTCACCAGAGGCTGACGATAACGAAGGCTATCCTCCATGGCCACCTCCTCCAGGCTGCCTTCCTGGAAATAGGAATCATAATAGTTGTTACTGGAAACAGGCAGAGGGTTGGGGGAGCCAAGGCAGTCCCACCCAGGACCAAGGTGGCTCCATTGCACACACTTCACCATGACTCCCCTGAAGGTCCAAACGTGCGGTTCTGCGGAAGTTGGGCTCCCCACTGGCCTCCCTCCTTCCTCAGAACCTCCAGGGGTGCTCCTCCTAGTGGCCACATCCAGCCTTTCTGACTGGACAACCTATCATTTAAAATTTTCAAGTAGTTCCGTAAACAGACACACGTTGCTGTATTTATTTATGTCAAGGGCTTGGTTTGTGATAAATCAGGCTCAAAAAGATTGTCTTAAAAGAGTGAACCTTGGCAATTTACCATAAAATAATTGCAATGCAGATTGTGCATGGAAATGATTGGAGATATTTTAAGGTCATAGTGTCTTCACAAATTGAGCTGAAAGGGAACTGTTAGGATGATCTTGCCTAACCCTCTCTTCTCACACAGGAAGAACTATTTTAAACTCGAGAGGTTAAGTGACCTGGCCAAAGTCACACAGCCACCACTAGTTAACTCGTATACATTGATTCTCCTGTGGGGCTGGGCAGATGAGGAATCTTTTGTTCTCTTCCCTGTTTGCAGAGATTTTTTTTGAGGTTACTTTCCGAGTTCTGGCAAGTACCCCTGCTTCTGGTAGCTTTGTGTCTCGATTCAATCTCATTCTTTTTATTTTATTTTATTTTTGAGACAGGGTCTCACTTTGTCACCCAAGCTGGAGTGCAGTGGTGTAATCTTGGCTCACTGTAGCCTCCACCTCTTGGGTTCAAGCGATCCTCCTGCCTCAGCCCCCCAAGTAGCTGGGATTACAGACGTCTGCCACCACGCCAGGCTAATTTATGGTTTTTTGTATGTGTTTTTTGTGTTTTTGTAGAGACAGTGTTTCCCCATGTTGCCCAGGCTGGTCTCCAACTCCTGAGCTCAAGTGATCTGCCCGCCTCAGCCTTTCAAAGTGCTAGGATTACAGGTGTGAGCCACCGTGCCCGGACTTAATCCCATTCTTTAACTTGTTTTGTTTTGTCCTCTCCAGGAGGCTCCCAGCCCTTTCGGATTGGTTGAGAAAAGTGGCCTGGCTGGTCTGGGGCCAGCGGCACCCACCCTCCCCTCAATTGCCCAACTCCCCCCCCCCACCGAACTGCCCAACTCCCCCTCCCCAACTGCCCAACTCCCCCACCCCCACAATCCCCTCCCGCCACAACTGAGGGAGGCGGTGCTGAAAAACAGCTGACTCCAGCAATGCTGCTCACGTGACCACTGCAGCTGCAGCTCCCGTTCCACTCCTTGTCCTGGGCTAGGTGGGCACTACCAGGGGCTCCTTTGGTAAGGAGTACCGGGTAGGCACCCGGTCCTGCCAATCCACCACTGGAACAGCTGGGGGGACAGCAGACAGGCACGGTCGGACAGACTTGACAGATCAGGCATCAGGCCCTCTGCGCTGGTCCCGGGCTCTTTAAGCAGGAACGTGAATGGCCTCAAGATGTCTCACATGGTCCCACTAGCCCTCCTCCTCCCTTTGTTCCCTACCTCCAGGAGGGCTGCTCTGCCCTTCCTTCCTCTGTTCTTTGGCCTTATGTTCCCCGCCACCACAGACCTTCCCCCGCCCCACCCCTCTGCAGACTTAGCCGTGCATTGCAGGCATGGAGGATTAATCAGTGACAGGAAGCTGCGTCTCTCGGAGCGGTGACCAGCTGTGGTCAGGAGAGCCTCAGCAGGGCCAGCCCCAGGAGTCTTTCCCGATTCTTGCTCACTGCTCACCCACCTGCTGCTGCCATGAGGCACCTTGGGGCCTTCCTCTTCCTTCTGGGGGTCCTGGGGGCCCTCACTGAGATGTGTGGTGAGTAACTCGCCTCTATCCTGTGCCTCTTTCCTCCTGGGTCCTTAGTGGGGTGGCTAGGGCATAGGATGAGGGAACTTACCTGCCCTTCTAAGCTCCCATAGCAGTTTGGGCTTAGCTGGACCTCAGCATTTAACACATCCTATTGTGATTGATTATATGTTTGACTCCTCACCAGACAAGATCTCCGTTAATTCAGTCATTCGTTCACACATTCATTCAGCGCATACTGAGCCTTTTCTGTGTCAGGCCCAGTGTTAGCCTTTGGGGAACGTGCAAAGCATGAGACAAGTCTAATCCCTGCCATCCTAGAGCTTATGTTCTAGGGAAGGGGGACAGACAAAAGAAATGGTTAGGTGCTCCCACCTGAAATCTCAGCATTTTGGAAGGCTGAGGCGGGAGGGGAGGATCGCTTGAGCTCAACAGTTCAAGGTCAGCCTGGGCAACATAGGGAGACCCCATCTCTACAAAAAATAAAAAAAATTAAAAAATAGCTGGGCATGGGGAAGACTTTCTGAAGACCAAGAGGACACATGGGAGCTGAAACTCGAAGGAAGAAAAGGAGCTGGCAGGAAAGGAGTGGGGGACACACATTCTAGGCAGCAGGAAGTGAGCCTTCGGAGGTCCTGCCTGCTCCAGCTCTGTGCCCCAAGGGGTCTCTTGGAGCACAGTCTCCTGGGACCTGTCTATGAGTCTGAGCTTAGAGGCTCAGGGCTGCTCCTTCAGACAGGAGGCAGAAGGCAGGCTTTGGGAACTTTGGGCCGCCCACGCGCCTTTTCTCCTCCTCTGCACCTAGGATTACGTTGAGCAATACACTTTCACCCCCATGGTCTCTTGAGACCCTGGGGAAACCCTGAGAGGTGGGTGCAGTCATGTCCAGGTGTCAAGTGAAGAAGTCGAGGGTTGGAGGGGCTGAGTGACCCACTCAGGGTGCTCCACCTTTTCCAGAGCTTTGCTGAACTTAGTTTTTAGAACTTGAAGCCTCGTTTGTTTTCGTTTTGTTTTTTGTTGAGAGAGGTTCTCCCTCTGTTGCCCAGGCTGGAGTGCAGTGGCACGATCTTGGCTCACTGCAGCCTCTGCCTTGTGGGTTCAAGTGATTCCCCCACCTCAGCCTCCCAAGTAGCTGGAGACTGCATGTGCATACTACCATGCTTGGCTAATTTTTGTATTTTTTTGTAGAGACAGGGTTTCGCCATGTTGCCCAGGCTGGTCTCGAACTCCTGGGCTCAAGTGAAACTCTTGCGTCGGCCTCCCAAATTGCTGAGATTACAGGCGTGAGCCACCGTGCCCGGCCAGAACTCCAAGCCTCTCATCTGTGTTCCATAAATGCAATCAGACACCTCAGGTCTGGGCCCAGGAACCCCAGCTCTTGGTTCATGTCCGGACAGTCCCCAGGGGAGTTCTGGGTTCAACCAGCAAGAGCTCTTCCTCCTGGCTGATCTGGTCCTCAGCCTTGGACAGTTAGTCCATTAACCTGACCCCACAGGAGCCCCAATCCCTTGGGGTCTGGGGAATCTTGAACTGGGGTTTGGGGTGCAAATATCTGCACTGAGTCACTTAATTGCACCCAGCCTCATTCCTTTATCTGTAAAGTGGGCTAAGAATGCTCCCCTGCCTTCCTCCTCGGTGTAGTACAAGGAAGGATCCCATGACACCTGCTCTCCCAGTTTAAAGCTCTATATGTATGTTGTGAAATTGACAGGGATCGCTGCACAAACGCTAATGCAAAGTGGGCTCCTGTGCTTCCTTTTCTCTTTCTTCTTCTTTTTTTTTTTTTTAATTTTCTTCTAGAGATGAGGTCTCACTATATTGCCCAGGGTTGGTTTCAAACTCCTAGGGTCAAGCGATCCTCCCACCTTGGCCTCCCAAACTGCTGGTATTACAGGCGTGAGCCACTCTGTCTGGCTCCTGTGCTTGTGAATGTCAACAGCAATCAGCCCTTAGCTGGCAGGGCTGGGTTGGTAGGGCGAGAGCTCACCCAAGGCTGCTTTTATTACCCTGCGTGAATCTGCCTGGCCCCTTCCTTCTAAGGAGGTTGCTCTGTGGTTGTCAGTCTCTCCCTTTACAGCTGGATCCTGATCTTTCAGTTTCTAACCCTGTGCTGACTCATCGTGCTGGAAGTGAGAGCCCGGGGTGAGGTCAGGGAACTCCCTTGCGCGTTTCAAGAAAAGGGAAAAGGAAAGAGAGGTGAGGAGGGGGGCAGATGACCAGAGAGACACAGGCTGAGAGAGACTGAGACAGACCCAGAGAGCCTCACACATTGAGTGACAGAGACGGAGAAATGGAGATAGGCACCAAAAAATGGTTCTCAGTGACAGAAAGGGAAAAAAGCAACCCCCCAGTCTCTCTTAACATCTGGTGAGAAACCAGCCATGTGCTTTGGTCTGGGCCCACACAGCAAAGGATTATGTAGGGTTTCATGCTGGTGGATGGTCACCTTATAGCAACAGGTATCTGGGGCTGTCGGGAAAACAGACACGAGGTTGTGGGACCCAGACCCACAGAGATGGAGCTGTTCTAGGAGCTCTGGTCCTCGTTCTGGTCCCCTGGGATATGGCACAGTGAAGGCCACCATCAGGCAGCTGGAGCCCAGCAGCAACTGGGAGGCAGTAAACAGGGACCGAAAGTGCAAGGTTACCTCCGAGGCAAACTACTCTAAGCTACCCTGTGCTGAGCTCAAGTCCCTTGGAACTATCCCTAAGGCTTCCGCTTCCAGAGTGTTTGAGTATTTTCGTTGCACAGCTTCGAATAAATCCCACAGCAACAGGTAAACGGCTGCAAGCTGTGACTGTTTTCTAAGAGCTCATCTCACAATCTCAGGTCCTCTTCATTTAAACAGAGATGGCAGGAAAGGCGTTATTTTGAGATCTGCATGGAGGAAGTTCACCAGGCAGCCTCAATTCACCAGCTGGAAGTTTGCGTTGTTTGGAAATTTGATGTGTAACACGTTCTGCATGTGGGCTGATGTTTTTGTAAACGGGTAGCACACACATTCAGCAGGGCACCAAAGAGCGGGGGCTTTGCAGTTAGGTCCATCCTTGGCTCTGCAGCCTTGTGTAAGACATGACACGACTTTGAACTTCTGTTTCCTCTTCTGTGCAAAGCAATGATGACAGTATCTACATCACAGGACTGGCATGAGGACCAAGTGAGATTGGGCAAGGTGCCCGGGCACACCAGTCTCACTGTCACTGCTGATGGGCAGAGTGGTTGCCTGGCAGTAGCATCCTCTATCTTCAGCCCACCACCTCTCTTGCTGGCTCACTCCAACTGCTCTTTAGAGATACACGCTTCCCCTCTTTTCTCCTCCCACTGCCTTTCAGTATGGCTGCATTTCCCCCTGCAAGTTGGTGTGTGCTGGGTGGAGGTGGGGGTGAGGACATGTATTCTCTGGAGAAGGCCCTGGTAACGTCAAAGCACTTCTTTGCTGGTGGCCTGGCCCTGTGACCTCATTTGTACCATTTTCTTTTCTAAGAAATACCAGAGATGGACAGCCATCTGGTAGAGAAGTTGGGCCAGCACCTCTTACCTTGGATGGACCGGCTTTCCCTGGAGCACTTGAACCCCAGCATCTATGTGGGCCTACGCCTCTCCAGTCTGCAGGCTGGGACCAAGGAAGACCTCTACCTGCACAGCCTCAAGCTTGGTTACCAGCAGTGCCTCCTAGGGTATTGCCACACTCTCTTTTTCCATGTCTTGCTCCACATACTAAGAGATGGGAAACTTGGGTACTAGTTTGGGCCTGTCACCACTTTGTGGGCAGACCTTAGGCAAATTTTCTCCATCTATAGAATGGAGGACCTTTGTCCATCTATAGAATGAAGGGGTTGGTTGGATTAGATCAGAGATGCTAATGCAAGGCTCCTTTTGCTACTACTGTCCATCATGTGTCTGAGGCAGACATAACTAATCCGTGACTATACTCTTTGATGATGAGCCCAGGAGCAGCATCTGACTCTATGCTCCCTTAGTGTGCCTGAGGCAGATATCACTAATCGATGACTGCAGTCTTCTACATTGAGCTTAGAAGCAGCATCTGACTCTGTATGCTCCCCTCCCATGCATGAGGCAGACATCAGTAATCCATGACCGCATTCTTTCATACTGAGCCCAGAAGCAGCATCTTTTCTTTTCTTTCCTCTCACTCTGTTGCCCAGGCTAGAGTGCAGTGGCACAATCTTGGCTTGCCCCAACCTCCAATTCCCGGGTTCAAGTGATTCTCGTGCCTCAGCCACCTGAATAGCTGGGATTACAGGCGTGTGCCACCATGCCCAGCTGATTTTTGTATTTTTGGTAGAGATAGGGTTTCACCATGTTGGCCAGGCTGGTCTTGAACTCCTGACCTCAGGTGATCCGCCTGTCTTGGCTTCCCAAAGTGTTGGGATTATAGGCATGAGCCACTGCACCAATCCAAAAGCAGCATCTTTGTGCTCCCTTTTCAAGAGGCATCACAGAGAGGCCTGTTTTGGGGTTTGAATGAGAGGCGAAGAATCAGCCATGGAGTGCCTCTTTCTCAGACTCCCTCTTGAGAAGTGGATGCAGGGGTGGAGAGAAAAGAAGACTAGGCATAGTGGCTCATACCTGTAATCCCAACATTTTGGGAGGCTGAGGCAGGAAGATTGCTTGAGCTCAGGAGTTTGAGACCAGCCTAGGCAACATAGTGAGACCACATCTCTTAAAAAAAAGAAAAAGAAAAAAAATGAGCCAGGTGTAGTGACTCATGCCTGTGGTCCCCACTTCTCCGGAGGCAAAGGTGGGAGGATCTTTTGAGGCTGAGAAATCGAGGCTACAGTGAGCCATGGTGGCACCACTGCACTCCAGCCTGGGAGACAGAGAGACCCTATCTCAGTAAAAAAAAAAAATAAAAATATGGCTGGGTGTGGTGGCTCACGCCTGTAATCCCAGCACTTTGGGAGGCCAAGGTAGGTAGATCACATGAGGTTAGGAGTTCGAAACCAGTCTGGCCAACATAGTGAAACCCTGTCTCTACTGAAAATACAAAAAATTAGCCAAGGGTGGTGGTGGGCAACTGTAATCCCAGCTACTTGGGAGGCCGAGGCAGAAGAATCGCTTGAACTCGGGAGGCGGAGGTTGCAGTGAGCTGAGAACATGCCACTGCACTCCAGCCTGGGCAACAAGAGCGAAACTCTGTCTCAAAGAAAATAAATAAATAAAATAAAAAAATAAAAAAGGAGGGGGCATATGGGTGAAGTATGGACAAAATAGTGGGGCAGGCACAGATGATCTGGACACAGGAGCCCTTGGAGTTTATTCTTGAATCTAACTGTTCATCTTTATTAAATATTTGTGGCATACACCTCACAACAACATAGCCAACACACCTCCTTTTGGAGCTTTTATCAAAGTTTCCCACTGTTAAGATTTTTTCCCGCTTTGTGATGCGGGTGGGGTGGGTGCTGTAAGCAGGCTTACGGGGTGGCAGTTTCTCACAAAGGCATTAACTGGCCTTGTCCTAGGTCTGCCTTCAGCGAGGATGACGGTGACTGCCAGGGCAAGCCTTCCATGGGCCAGCTGGCCCTCTACCTGCTCGCTCTCAGAGCCAACTGTGAGTTTGTCAGGGGCCACAAGGGGGACAGGCTGGTCTCACAGCTCAAATGGTTCCTGGAGGATGAGAAGAGAGCCATTGGTGAGCAGACACCATCCGCTGGGGGTGGGGAGCAGCTGGGAGGGCTCATCAGATGATATTCTCCAATGAGAATCAGAACTTTGGGTTTTCTCCCCAGGCGTCTTTCCCACCATCCATTCTGCCCATCTCACTGCCTACGTAGAGGCTCGAACCTGTCCCCATAGCCATCCTTGACCCAGCTTTTCCCGCGCTGCACACATACTATTGACAGGTGTGTTTCGTGGTTTTTTGTTTTTTGTTTGTTTGTTTGTTTTGAGTTGGAGGTTTGCTCTTGCTGCCCAGGCTGGAGTACAATGGCGCAATCTCAGCTCACCGCAATCTCTGCCTCCTGGGTTCAAGCAATTCTCCTGCCTCAGCCTCCTGAGTAGCTGGGATTACAGGCATGCGCCACCACACCCAGCTAATTTTGTATTTTTAGTAGACGTGGGGTTTCTCCATGTTGGTCAGGCTGGTCTCGAACTCCTGACCTCAGGTGATCCGCTTGCCTTAGCCTCCGAAAGTGCTGGGATTACAGGCATGAGCCACTGCGTTAGGCCCACTGACAAGCCTTGTATTGGCTAGCCACCAAGATTGACTTGATTATCCACCTTCGGGACAACTGGACAGCCTGCTTATGACTTACGCCATAGTCTGTCTCTACTAGCTCTCCTGCCCTGACTTGACCCAGCATACAACAGCCAGAGCCAGCCTTTTCAATATAAACCTGATCTTGCTGGCACTGCTTAAACCCTGCAGGGGCCTCGCACTGCTCCATGGCCCAGCCTGTCTACCCTTACCTTCTGCCCAGGCTGTGCTCATCCATTCTCTGCCTCCCACACACCTGCCCTCTGTGGGCTCCAGCCATACCATCTCTCAACTCATAAGCCAGTTTTTTCATACAGGCTCCCTCCATCTGGACTGGCTTCCCTGCGTGCAGTTCACTCCTGCTCTACCTTTGGCTCTGCCTCCACCCATCCTCAGCCGTCTCCAGCATTACCTCCTTGGAGAATCCTGCCTTGACTTCCCAGCCACCCAAATATCACTACTTGGTCTGCATTCTCGTTGCAATTGCAGTCGCATGAGCAATTGCTGTGGTTGAGGCCCGAACTGCGCAGTGCCTGTCTGCCATGGGTCTCCTGCTTCCTCTAAGCACAGTGCCTGACACACAGTGAGACCTCAGCACGTATGGGCTGAGGCAATGAAGGAATGAAGGATCCCATGACCCAAAAGAGCGTGTTGGAAAGTGCAGGCCAGGGTCCCAGGTGCTGGCGGGGCTGGCTGCTGGGTGGGGGCAGAGAGGCAACCCCTCTGTTTTTTTCCCTCTCAGGGCATGATCACAAGGGCCACCCCCACACTAGCTACTACCAGTATGGCCTGGGCATTCTGGCCCTGTGTCTCCACCAGAAGCGGGTCCATGACAGCGTGGTGGACAAACTTCTGTATGCTGTGGAACCTTTCCACCAGGGCCACCATTCTGTGGGTGAGTAGGTCAGACCGTGCCAAGGCCAGGCTGGCACTCCCTCAGTCCCCAGGTCTGCACTGATGACCTCCATACCCTGGCCCCCACACTCACCTTTCCTTGGGGCTCCTCCGAATCAAGTCCTTTAGGGACGAATTGGCGAGGGCTCATGGGTGATGCTTCAGCTGTGAGCCAGCTTTGGAGCTGGTAGGTGGATCTCTTGAGGCCAGGAGTTCAAGACAACGTGGTGAAACCCCATCTCTACTAAAAATAAAAAAGTTAGCCGGGCATGGTGGCACATGCCTGTAGTCCCAGCTACTCGGGAGGCTGAGGCAGGAGAATCACTTGAACCTGGGAGGCGGAGGCTGCAGTGAGTGGAGATCGCACCACTGCCCTCCAGCCTGGGCAACAGAGTGAGTGAGACTCTGTCTCAAAAAATAAAAAATAAAATAAAACTCCCCTAGTGATTCCAATGTGCAGCTAAGTTTGGAAATAGGTGGTATGGGGTCAAGTCCTCTTGGGCCTCCCTCCTCCAGTCCTTCTCCCTAACCTCTAGCCCTCAAGTTGCAGAGTGATCAGCCAAACCAGTTTGCCCAGAAATGAGCAGTTTCCTGGGACACAGGATTTTCAGAGTCCAGACAAGGAAAGTCTTGGGCAGACCAGGTTGAGTTGGTGCCCTTAGCTGATCTGACCATGTTGCCCTTCTTCTCCAAGCCCTCCTGTGGTTGTCCATAGCTACAAGGGCCTGACCCTCAAGCCCCTGCCTGTCCTGGCCCCTTTGGCTCTCCAGCTCATTGCATGTTCTGTCCCCCACTTCAAGACACAGCAGCCATGGCAGGCTTGGCATTCACCTGTCTGAAGCGCTCAAACTTCAACCCTGGTCGGAGACAACGGATCACCATGGCCATCAGAACAGTGCGAGAGGAGATCTTGAAGGCCCAGACCCCCGAGGGCCACTTTGGGAATGTCTACAGCACCCCATTGGCATTACAGGTGGGAAAGAGACCCTGGAGCCATGGCCACCCTGGGGAACAGTCAGGGGTGGAGTGGTCAGGTGCTGGAACACCTAGCCCCTCCCTGCCGGCTGACTTCCTCTCTCTCTTCCTCACTCTATCACCAGTTCCTCATGACTTCCCCCATGCGTGGGGCAGAACTGGGAACAGCATGTCTCAAGGCGAGGGTTGCTTTGCTGGCCAGTCTGCAGGATGGAGCCTTCCAGAATGCTCTCATGATTTCCCAGCTGCTGCCCGTTCTGAACCACAAGACCTACATTGATCTGATCTTCCCAGACTGTCTGGCACCACGAGGTAGCCCAACTTTTTGTGGAAGCACAGCCCTTTACAATCTGCTGCGCACCCATTGACGTCCCAGTGAGGGGAGGTTGCTTCATCCTGATTTGCTGAGTCAGCACAAGATTGTGGGTGTGCATGGGACACAGCAGCCAAAATGTGGTCATAGCTTCTAGAAGCTCACAGTGTGGGGAGGAAGACAGTAAATGGAGATCCCTGGGCATATCGCTTGTGTGATACCCAGTACAGAAATGTTTGGATGGATGGATGGATGGATGGATGGATGGATGGATGGATGGATGGATGAGGAGAGACACATTTTGGTTAACTCTAATACAACATGATAAGCCCCAGTAGCAGCATGATCCAGGCTTTCTCTGAGAGAGGGTCTGAGGACGTGACTGGGATTTGCCAATTAAGAATGGAGAAAGAGGCCAGGTGCAGTGACTCATGCCTGTAATCCCAACACTTTGGGAGGCCGAGGCGGGTGGCTCACCTGAGGTCAGGAGTTCGAGACCAGCCTGGCTAACATGGCGAAACTCCATCTATTAAAAATACAAAAAAGTAGCTGGGTGTGGTGGCGAGTGCCTGTAACCCCAGCTAAGCTACTCAGGAGGCTGAGGCAAGAGAATCACTTGAACCTCAGAGGTGGAGGTTGCAGTGAGCCAAGATCATGCCACTGCACTCCAGTCTGGGTGACAGAGTAAGACTATGTCTCAAAAAAAAAAAAAAAAAATGGAGAAGAAGGAAGCTGGACATGGTGGCTCGTGCTTATAATCCTAGCACTCTGGGAAGCTGAGGCAGATGGATTGCCTGAGCCCAGGAGTTTGAGACCAGCCTGGGCAACATGGTGAAACCCTGTCTTTACTAAAATACGAAAGATTAGCCAGGCATGGTGGTAGACACCTATAATCCCAGCTACTAGGGAGGCTGAGCCACAAGAATCACTTGAACCTGGGAGACAGAGGTTGCAGTGAGCCGAGATCGCGCCATTGCACTTCAGCCTGGGCGACAGTGTGAGACTCTGTCTCCAGAAAAAACAAGAATGGATAGAGTGGAGCCAAGAAGAGGCAGGAAGAACAAAGACACAGAGGTGCACAGAGTTTGGGGGAATTTTGAGGAATGGTCTTGCAAAAGAGTGGGATCTGGGAGAATGAGTGGGAGTGGAAAGCAGATGAATGAAGAGAAGGTGAGCGCATCAGGGTAACAGAGATGCGTTGTGAACAAATGCATGTTCTAGGAAGAGCCCTCTGGAGTGCTAGGTGCCAGAGAGGTGGGAGGAAGGATACTGGAAGCAGAGAAACCAGTGAGGGGCCTGATCTTGGGTGGTGGGGAATGAGGGACAGGGGAGGCCGGGATGGAAGCCAGGTGGTGGGGAATGAGGGACAGGGGAGGCCGGGATGGAAGCCAGGTTTCAGCTGAGCAGGTGGCGGTGGCATTGATGGAGATGAGGACATGGGGAAGGACAAAGTCCAGGTGTCCTTGAGGGAAGACAAGAAGACAAATAATCCAGGCTCTCTGTCCTCACACCAGCTGCCCGCCCCTTTCTTCCTGGCACAGTCATGTTGGAACCAGCTGCTGAGACCATTCCTCAGACCCAAGAGATCATCAGTGTCACGCTGCAGGTGCTTAGTCTCTTGCCGCCGTACAGACAGTCCATCTCTGTTCTGGCCGGGTCCACCGTGGAAGATGTCCTGAAGAAGGCCCATGAGTTAGGAGGATTCACGTGAGACTCCCACCTCCCAGTCCTCACCCCACCCAACCTCACATGCCTGATAACAGGGTCACAGAAGAGACGGGGAACAGAGGAGAGGGTTCCCTCGGGAGAGACACTGGCCCTGCTTCTGCTTCTACCTGCTCAGCTCCTTTCTTGCCCACGGTGTTATGGAAACAGGGAGCCATAGGCCAGCATTGTCACTGAGAGAGCAGGCTTTGGAGGCAGAGCCCCCCAGTTGGAATCCCAACTCTAACCAGCTAGGTTCCAGGTAGGCACCCACAATTCACCGAGGAGAACAGTTGTGCCCCTTCCCTGCAGGGCCAGTGTGAAGAGTCCAGGAGTTAGTACACATAGAGATAGTGGCATGTGCTTTTTATATGTGCAAGGTCCAGCACATAGCAAGCGCTCAACACAGCGTTGCTTTCATCAGAGTAAGAACTGTTTTTTGTTTGTTTGTTTGTTTGTTTTTAAGAGACAGGGTCTCAATCTTATCACCCAGGCTGGAGTGTAATTGTGCAATCACGTCTCACTGCAGTCTCGAACTCTGGGGATGAAGCAACCCTACTGTCCTGCCTCAGCCTCCCAAATAGCTGAGACTATAGGCACGTGCCACACAACCCTGGGTAATTTTTTTTTTTTTTTTTTTTGAGATAGGGTCTCTGTCTGTTGCCCAGGCTGGTCTCAAATTCCTGGCCTCAAACCATCCTCACACCTGAGGCGCTCAAAATATTGGGATTATAGGTGCGAGCCATCATGCTCAGCCAGAATAATAACTGGTTTTTTTTGTTTTTTTTTTTGAGACAGAGTCTCACTCTATTACCCAGGCTCTGGAGGCCCAACTCGTGTTTGTGTATTTGTTTATTTTTATTTATTTATTTATTTCGAGACAGAGCCTCTCTCTTTCACCTAGGCTGGAGTGCAGTGGCGCAATCTCGGCTCACTGCAACCTCCGTCTCCTGGGTTCAAGTGATTGTCCTGCCTCAGCCTCCTGAGTAGCTGGCGCTACAGGCGCGTGCCACCATGCCCAGCTAATTTTTGTATTTTTAGTAGAGACAGGGTTTTACTATGTTGGCCAGCTGGTTTCTAACTCCTGAACTCGGGTGATCTGCCTGCCTCGGCCTCCCAAAGTGCTGGGATTACAGGCATGGGCCTCCGTGCCCGGCCATGTATTTATTTAGGCAAGGTCTCTCTCTGTTATCCAGGCTGAAGTGCAGTGGCACATTCATAGCTCACTGCAGCCTCAAATTATCCAAGTAACAGGGACTACAGGCATGCACCACCACACCCATCTACTTTTTTTTGAGATGGAGTCTCCCTCTGTCGCCCAGACTGGGTTGCAGTGGCACAATTTCAGCTCATGGCAGCATCTACCTCCCAGGTTCAAGCGATTCTCCTTCCTCAGTCTCCCGAGTAGCTGGGACTATGGGCATGCACCACCATACCTGGCTAATGTTTATATTTTGAGTAGAGATGGAATTTTGCCATTTTGGCCAGGCTGGTCTTGAGCTCTTGACCTCAAGTGATATGTCTGCCTCAGCCTCCCAAAGTGCCGGGATTACAGGCATGAGCCACTATGCCTGGCCCAGAATAAGAACTTTTATTTTATTTGAGACAGGGTCTTACTCTGTCACCTAGGCTAGAGTGCAGTGGCACAATCACAGCTCACTGTAGCCTCAATCTTCCGGGCTCTGATCCTCCCACCTTAGCCTCCCAGGTAGCTGGGAACAACAGGCATGCGCCACCACGCTTGGCAAATATTTTTTTAAAATTTTTTGTAGACATGGGATTGCTTCATGTTGCCCAGACTGGTCTCAAACTCCTGGACTCAAGCGATCTACCCACCTTGGCCTCCCAAAGTGCTGAGATAACAGGCGTGAGCCGCCGTGGCTGGCCAGAATAAGAACTTTTATTATGAAATAAGTTTGGCCCTATCCTGTTATTAATTACCTCAAAGAGGTTGGACAATGTCCTTACACTTGCTTCTCACCCTGAGCTTAGAATAGTTTGAGAATGAGCATGTCTGGACTGTTGTTTGACAGGTCCTGTCCATGATGAAATAAGATGAATGTAATTCTCATGTTATCAGTGGGGAGTCCAGCCCAGAGAAGTTGAATGCCTTCCACCAGGTCACGCACACCACAGACTTCTCCCCTAGAATCATGGGCCTATCTCTGTCCCCAGTGGGAGTTCCTGGAAAACAGCATCCTGCATCCAGGGAGGGCCCACAGTTGGTTCCTTCGGGTCCTCTAGGCTAGAGAATCTCAGACCGGAGAAATGCAAAGACTCCTCTGAAGTACAAACATTCTCCCAGACCCCAGGTTAAGTTATTTCTTCTATAATATCACTTAGATGTGTACTGATAATTTTATTAAATATAAAGTCTTTGGCCAGAGCTGGTGGCTCACTCCTGTAATTCCAGTGATTTGGGAGGCTGAGGCAGGAGGATCACTTGAGCCTAGGAGTTTGAGACCAGCCTGGGCAACATAGTGAGACTGCCATCTCTTCAAAAAAATTTTTTTAATTAGCTGGGCATGATGGTGTGCACCTATAATCCTAGCTACCCAGAAGGCTGAGGTGGGAGGACTGCTTGAGCCCAGGAGTTCAAGGCGGCAGCAAGCTATGATGACGTCACTGTCCTGTAGCCTGGATGACAAAACTTTTTTTTTTTTTTTAAAAGACAAAGGGCTGAGTGTGATGGCTAACACCTGTAATCCCAGCACTTTGGGAGGCCAAGGTGGGCAGATTACTTGAGGCCAGGAGTTCAAAACCAGCCGGGCCAACGTGGCGAAAGCCCGTCTCTACCACACACAAAAAAAGTCCTTTCTCTTTCTAGCTCTAGACAGCTATAAATCCCCAACAACTTTATAAATTAAATAGAAAAGTATAAAAACCAATACCATTCAAATAAGGATGCTCTGCGGAGGTGCTGGCCTGCACTTTAGCACCTCCCTGTATTCAAGCTGCAGTGAAGCCTGGGCACTCCTGGCCTGGCTCAGCCACTTCATTCACTATGAGGGCCACCTCCGTTTCCTTCCTGTGGCCTATGGCACATAACGCAATGCTGCTGGGCACCAGCGCAGTCACTGATGGCCACGCATAGGCTGAGTGCCCTTGGGAGGGCTCAGACCCACAGACTGAGATTACCCAGAACCAGCTGGTATTCATGTTTGAATATTGTCATCAAAATGAAAGACAATTAGAATTTAACGTTTTTATTCAGAGCTCGGGGATCTCTGGGAAGACACTGTGGACTCCAGTCTGAGAAATGGTTCTCTTGTTAGTGTGCATGGATGCCTCAACTGGGTTCAGGCATGAAGACTATGTTTGAGGCCCCTGAATGCACAGCAGAGAAAGCTCAACTGCAGACACAGATAGACAGATGTGGAGAGAGGTAGCCCTGTGCAGCCACATGGCCCTGCAGAGTTAAGGAATGGGAAAAGGGCTACTCTGTGACATTCCTTAGAACAGTAGTTTCCCTTCGCTAAAGTCACCCCAAATAGGGTGGTGGTTGTTGTTGTTGTTTTGAGACGGAGTTGCATTCAGTCGCCCAGGCTGGAGTGCAGTGGCACGATCTCGGCTCACTGCAACCTCCACCTCCTGGGTTCAAGCGATTCTCCTGCCTCAGCCTCCTGAGCAGCTGGGATTACAGGGGCCCACCATCACACCTGGCTAGTTTTTGTATTTTTAGTAGAAATAGGGTTTCACCATGTGAGCCAGGCTGGTGTCAAACTCCCAACCTCAGGTGATCCACCCACCTCCGCCTCCTCAAGTGCTGGGATTACAGATGTGACCCACCGCGCCCCACCTGTGTTTCTTAAAACCAAAAAAATCCCTCTAAGACTGCAACCATCGATAACTTAGGGCTGTATTACCCCAGAGAGCACTTTGTAGAAGATGCGTTTGTTCACATCACTTCCCTGTTACTTTGACGGTCTCACCTCCTTTTCAGTCATTTGCATTCTCCCAGAACCTGCTCATTTGTTGTTTTTTGTTTGTTTGCTTGGTTTTGTTTTTGAGAAGCAGTCTTGCTCTGTTACCCAGGCTGGAGTGCAGTGGTGCGACCTCAGGTCACTGCAACCTCCGCCTACTAGGTTCAAGTGATTCTCCTGCCTCAGTCTCCTGAATAGCTGGGATTACAGGTGTGCACCACCATGCCCAGCCTAATTTTTGTATTATTAGTAGAGATGGGGTTTCACCATGTTGTCCAGGCTGGTCATGAACTCCTGACCTCAAGTGATCCACCCGCTTTGGCCTCCCAAAGTGCTGGGATTACAAGCATGAGCCACAGTGCCTGGCCTGACCCTGCTCTTTTGAAAGACCATTCCCCCAAATTCTGTGCACCTGTGTGCCTTTCTTCTCTCTGCCTCCTCTCAGCTCTGCCCCGCTCTCCTCCCTTCTCCTCTGGCAAATCCCACTCATCTCTTGAAGCCCTTCTTCCAGGGGAAGCCCTGATCATGCTGCTTTCTCCTGTGGGAGGGATGAAGGACGTGGCCCACGGAGTTTGTTTTGTTTTGTTTTGAGATGGAGTTTTGCTCATGTTGCCCAGGCTGGGGTACAATGGTACGATCTCAGCTCACTGCAACCTCTACGTCCCGGGTTCAAGCGGTTCTCCTGCCTTAGCCTCCCCAGTAGCTGGGATTACTGGCATGAACCACCACACCTGGCTAATTTTGTGTTTTTAGTAGAGATGGGGTTTCTTCATGTTGGTCAGGCTGGTCTCGAACTCCCAACCTCAGGTGATCTGCCTGCCTTGGCCTCCCAAAGTACTGGGATTACAGGGTTGAGCCACTGTGCCTGGCCCAGGCCCACGGAGTTTTAAGAGGCTTCCTGTGGCAGTGGCATCCAGACGGAGTGCAGAAACTCAAAGTTGAAGGCCAGAAGCTCAGGGAAGGGGGAGTGTGAGTTGAGGAGTCTCTTGGCTGCCAGGGCCAGAAACCGAACTCCAAGCCTCTCCACAACAGCGGGTGTAGAGCATGTAGAATCAGAGAGGAGGCTGAGCCATGCAGCCCCGAGAAGAGGGGAATGCCACTGAGCCACAGAGACCCAGTGCCACTGCCAGGTGTCTCTGCCTCCACTTCCCATGACCCTGCCTGTCTCTGTATGCAGGCTTCACCCTCTCTCGTTGTACATTGTACACATTCTAGGTGACACCAGCAGCTTCTGATTCTCATCCCCCATAACATCAGCCCCCCAGAGAGGGGACAACTGCTGAGCTGATAACATAATAGATGCCCCTTTCCTGGAGGCCATGGTCATGGTCAGCGTGGAGAGGATGAAGCCTGAGCAGGCAGGATCGGGGGTCTGGAGGGGAAGGAGGTGGAAGTTGAGATCACAGACCTGTGGCCAGGTGGCCTGGGAAGGGTTTGACGAGTGTCGGCCCAAAGAGCTTGGAAGGGATTTTGCTGCTGTGGGTGAGCACTGCCTCTCCCCTTAGGGACAACAGCCACCTCTTCTCTCCCCATTTGCCTTTCCCTTCTGTAGATATGAAACACAGGCCTCCTTGTCAGGCCCCTACTTAACCTCCGTGATGGGGAAAGCGGCCGGAGAAAGGGAGTTCTGGCAGCTTCTCCGAGACCCCAACACCCCACTGTTGCAAGGTGAGTCATGGCCTGACACTCTGGATGTGTCCCCTACCCCAAGCTTACTCAGCCAAGAGGCTTCATCAACTCACCCCAGCTTTCCCTAGCACCCTCCTGGGCCACACCTTCACAAAATCACTGATGCTCAAAGTTGGATATAATATATTGAACTGAAGCCTTAGAATTTTTATGCAAGTTACTGTGGAAATTCTAGGAAACCAGACAGATTACAAAAAAAAAAAAAAACTAGAAGAAAATTAACATCACCTAGGATATACTACCTAGGAATAACGTCTTTTATTTTGAGATGGAGTTTCGCTCTTGTTGCCCAGGCTGGAGTGCAGCGGTATGATCTCGGCTCGCTGCAACCTCCGCCTCCTGGGTTCATGTGATTCTTCCACCTCAGCCTTCCTAGAGCCCAAGTGGTCTGCCTGCCTCTGCCTCCCAAAGTTCTGGGATTACAGGCATGAGCCACCGCACCCAGCCAAAATTACTTAACTTTTCTTCTAGATACTTTTTAAAAATATGGCAGTAAGTTTTTCATAAAAAATGGAGCCATGCTATCCAGTGGAAATTTAATGTTGCCCACATGTATAACTTAAAAATTTCATATATGTGTATACATATATATGAAATATATATATATACAGACACACATATATATGTATACATATATATACACACATATATATGTATATATATATACACACATATATATGTATACATATATACACACATACACATATATACACACACATACACACACATATACACACACATACATACACATACATACACACATATATACACACATATATACACACATATATATGTATACATATATATACACACATATATATGTATACATATATACACACACACATATGTATACATATATACACACACATATATATGTATACATATATACACACATATATATGTATACATATATACACACATATATATGTATACATATATACACACACACACACACACATATATATATATATATATATTTTTTTTTTTTGAGATGGAGTCTTGCTCTGTTGCCCAGGCCGGAGTACAATGGCGAGGTCTCAGCTCACTGCAGCCTCTGCCTTCTGAGCTCAAGCAATTCTCCTGCCTCAGCCTCCCAAGTAGCTGGGATTACAGGTGTGTGCCACCATGCCCAGTTATTTTTGTATTTTTAGTAGAGACGGGGTTTCACCATGTTGGCCAGGCTGGTCTCAAACTCCTGACCTCAAGTGATCTGCCTGCCTCAGCCTCCCAAAGTGCTGGGATTACAGGCGTGAGCCACCACGCCTGGCCTGCAAACAGACCCTTAAAAGTCATCTGTTCCTACTCTTGTTATTTAAGTTGCTTTGATACTCCACCCCTGAAGAACTTTTATGGGGCACTTACCATGTGTCAAGCATTGTGGCGAGTGCTTATAGAGAAGGTGGGACTTTCTGAGGGAGCCCACAAAAAAGCATTCTTTTCTTGCCCTCATTCTGAATAAATTGAGGAATAAAAAATAGGAGCTACAGATGGAGACCCCAAGTCTGGCCAGTTCTATTACTGATAAAGACAGGAGGGTGAGAGCTAGGTGGACCCAGCCAGGAAGCAGACCTGGGCAGTTGTAGCCTCTATCTCCTTCCCCCTCTGCCCTTGAGTCTAGAAGGAAGCCCGCTCCCAGGAGAAAAATAGCGCCCAGGCTACACATGCCTAGTTTATTCTTCCCAAATCAACCAGTTGCATAAATCACTCCTCTATCTTCCTTGGGGTGGAAAGTGGATGGGAGTTATAATTTGAGTTCTCTTTTGTCTTAGTCCATTGAAGCTGCTATTACAAAATACCATAAACTGGGTGGCTTATAAACAGCAGAAATGAGGCCGGGTGCGGTGGCTCATGCCTATAATTCCAGCACTTTGGGAGGCCAAGGCAGGTGGATCACCTGAGATCAGTAGTTCAAGACTAGCCTGACCAACATGGTGAAACCCTGTCTCTACTAAAAATACAAAAAATTAGCTGGGGGTGGTGGCGGGCACCTGTAATCCCAGCTACTCAGGAGGCTGAGGCAGGAGAATCGCTTGAACCCAGGAGGCGGAGGTTGCCGTGAGCTGAGATCACGCCATTGCATTTCAGCCTGGGCAACAAGAGTGAAACTCCATCTCAAAATGAAATAAAATAACAGAAATGTATTTCTTAACAGTTCTGGAGGTTGGGTGGGCAGTCCCAGATCAGGACACTGACAGATTCAGTGTCTGATGGGGGCCCACTTTCTGGTGTTACCTGCTGGCTGTGTTCTCACATGGTGGAAGGAACATGGCAACTTTCTGGGGCCTTGTTTTTTAATTTAAAAAAAAAAAATATTTTCCTGGCCCTTGCCTGCTGAAGGAACCTCTTTTATAATGGTACTTAAAAATTTTTTTTTTTGAGATGGGGGTCTCACTCTGTCACCCACGCTGAGTGCAGTATCACAATCTCAGCTCACTGCAACCTCTGCCTCCCTGGCTTAAGCGATCCTCCCACCTCAGCCTCCTGAGTACGTGTGACCATAGGCCCATGGCACAAAGCCCAGCTAATTTTTTGTATTTTTAGTAGAAATGTGGTTTCACCATGTTGCATAGGCTGGTCTCGAACTTCTGAACTCAAGTGATCTGCCTGCCTTGGCCTCCCAAAGTGCTGGGATTCTAGGTATGAGCCACCCTGCTCGGCCTATAATGGCACTTTCCTATCCCATTGATGAGGCTCTACTCTCATGACCTAATCATCTCCCAAAGGCCCTAAGGCCTCCTGATACCATCACCTTTGGGGTTAGGTTTTAACATATACATTTTGGGGGGACACAGACATTTTAGACCATAGCACCTCCATTGAAAGGAAACATTTCTGACACCTGGCTATCTCAAAGGGCCCTTTCAGTTCCCCTGCAGGCTGCATTCCCACATCACCAACAAGAGCAGCGACACTCACTCAGAGGTTAAATAACTTGTCCAGAGTCACAGCAGTAATGAATGACAGAGCTGGGGCTTGAATCCAGGCGTCCTCCTAGAGCCTGGATTCTGTGTAGTGAGTGAAAGCTGACTCCTGGGAGACTTCTGCGTGGTCCTGGTTCTCTCTCCAGACTGCACTGCGCAAGTTTCTCTTCCTGATGGTCCCTAGGGTATTACAAAGACAGTGGCCCTGCCTGTCAGGTGTTTTTATTACCAGATGAGGTCATGGCCTCAGGAACCCTGTGGGAAGCTGAGTTCAGAGTCTTTGAGCAGGCTTTAGGGAGGTTCCAGCTTCCCACCACCAAGCCCCAGGTGGATTCTTACAGACTCTAGCCTCAGGGTGGGGGGTCTGGAAGATGAGGTTGCGGGGTGCGATATTCTGCCCAATTCGCCCCTCCTTGCTCAATCTGTTTCTGCAGGTATTGCTGACTACAGACCCAAGGATGGAGAAACCATTGAGCTGAGGCTGGTTAGCTGGTAGCCCCTGAGCTCCCTCATCCCAGCAGCCTCGCACACTCCCTAGGCTTCTACCCTCCCTCCTGATGTCCCTGGAACAGGAACTCGCCTGACCCTGCTGCCACCTCCTGTGCACTTTGAGCAATGCCCCCTGGGATCACCCCAGCCACAAGCCCTTCGAGGGCCCTATACCATGGCCCACCTTGGAGCAGAGAGCCAAGCATCTTCCCTGGGAAGTCTTTCTGGCCAAGTCTGGCCAGCCTGGCCCTGCAGGTCTCCCATGAAGGCCACCCCATGGTCTGATGGGCATGAAGCATCTCAGACTCCTTGGCAAAAAACGGAGTCCGCAGGCCGCAGGTGTTGTGAAGACCACTCGTTCTGTGGTTGGGGTCCTGCAAGAAGGCCTCCTCAGCCCGGGGGCTATGGCCCTGACCCCAGCTCTCCACTCTGCTGTTAGAGTGGCAGCTCCGAGCTGGTTGTGGCACAGTAGCTGGGGAGACCTCAGCAGGGCTGCTCAGTGCCTGCCTCTGACAAAATTAAAGCATTGATGGCCTGTGGACCTGCTACAGTGGCCTGGTGCCTCATACTCCTCAGGTGCAGGGGCAGGGACAAGAGAAGGGGGAAGTAACCCCATCAGGGAGGAGTGGAGGGTGCCTGAGCCGCCATGTGGGCATTGGGGGAGTGATGGGAATGCCAGCAGTGATGACATTGACTACTGACTGAGCACCCACTACTATGACTGAGCACTCACTCGCTAGATACTATCTTGAACTGCTCTGTGAGGTTGTTGATATTTTCATTTTTATCTGTGCTTTACAAATCAGGAAACTGGGAGGCCGGGCATGGTGGCTCACGCCTGTAATCCCAGCACTTTAGGAGGCCAAGGCAGGTGGATCACAAGGTCAGGAGTTTGAGATCAGCCTGGCCAACATGGTGAAACTCCATCTTTACTAAAAATACAAAAAATTAGCCAGGCATGGTGTTGCATGCCTGCATGCCTGTAATCCCAGTTACTTGGGAAGCTGAGGCAGGAGAATTGCTTGAACCCTGGAGGCGGAGGTTGTAGTGAGCCGAGATCACGCCATTGCACTCCAGCTTGGGCAAGAAGAGAAACACTCTCAAAAAAAAAAAAAAATCAGGAAACTGGTGCTCAAAAAGGAAAAGTGACTCACCAAGGTCACAGACTAGGCAGTGATGCTGGGGGAACCTGGCTCAGGGGACACAGACCTGGCCTGGGGCAGCCTTGCAGCTCCTCCACTAAAATACTGAAAATGAGGGGCTTCGATGATGGTTATAATCGTATGGCAGAGCCCCAACTCAACTGGAGCCCTGGGACCCAGAAGCTAGGGTCTCACTCCCTGCTTTTCCACAAGGCACCATTAGGGCATCACCCCAGGCCTCGGCAGCCACGACGCAGGGATCCTGCCTCTCATTGGTTGGGGGCTTAGGGGCTCTGGGCTGCCCTCTTGAAGAGGGGGTTCAGCCCAGCGAGGCACCCCCTATGCTGCACCCCACCAAGGTTAGGAAGAGGTCCTGTCCTCAGTGGGGCCCTCTGATGAACAGCCCATCAGGTCTGCGTCCACATGCCTTGGAAGAGATGGTGACATACTCAAAGTCCTTGAAGCCGCATATTAAACCACCTAGAGCACCATCTTCAAACATTTAGGGTCTGAGAAGATAGGGGAAGTAAGCAATTTAAAACATTTCTTTATATTGGGCCAGGTGCAATGGCTCACGTCTGTAATCCCAGCGCTTTGGGAGGACGAGGATCACCTGAGGTCAGGAGTTCAAGATCAGCCTGGCCAACATGGAGAAACCCCATCTCTACTAAAAATACAAAAATTAGCTCAGGCGTGGTGATGTGCACCTGTAATCCTAGCTATTCAGGAGGCTGAGGCACAAGAATTGCTTGAGTCAATATTGCACCACTGCACTCCAGCCTGGGCAACAGCGAGACTCTTGTCTCAAAAAAAAAAAAAGATATTTGCTGAAAAGACCCAGCCTGCCAAACTCAGGGGCAGCCAAGGGAGGTAGTGAAATGGAAGTTGGAGCTCAGCGCTCCCTCACCTCCACTGCCCTCAGGCCTTCTCTGCCTCTTTCCCATCAGTCAGCTGCTTCTGGGCATGGTCCTGGCAGAGACTTGGCCTCCTTCCAGTTCAAGCTCCCTCTTAGATTGTGTCCCACGCCACTGAGTCTCTGGGACACTGGGTCAGTTGTCTAGTCTGGCACAATTGGCAGGAATCCCAAGAAACAGTGTGAGTGAGGGGACAGTCGTGTTGAGTGCGTGGCCTGATAACAGGGTAAGAGTCCAGAGGCCCTCCATCTGGGACTGGGAGGCAGGTCTATGTCAGGCCTGCATTTAGATCTCTAATAGCTCCAGACAAGCCCCTTCAGCTCACTAAGCCTGTTTCCTAACACAGCTGTGGGATGGTGCTTTGGTTTACATAGCACGCGATACCATCATAGATCACATGGGGAAACTGAGGCCCCAGGAGTGATCTGCTGGCACATGCAGTGACAAGAGGAGAGGCCCATCTCAGCCTTGCAGCAAGGTTGCCAGAAATCGATTCTCGCCCCCATCCCGTAAAGCCTCTCTGCATCACCTGCTTCCCACAGCAGCAGCCTGGGCCTCCAAAGGGCACATTCAGATTTGAGGGATTTGGGGAGTTTGTGGGCAAGGGCAGACTACTATGGGCTTTTGGGTGAACCCCAAGGGAATGCAAAGAAGCCCCCTGCCATTCTCCATGAATGGAGCTGAATGCCCTAGCCCCCCATTCTTCCACGTGGGAGTATCCTCTTGAGAGTCCTGCTGGCTGTTGGTCAAGGCAGGTTAAAAGCTGAGGCTTAAAGTAGCCAGGGGTAGTGGCTCCCGCCTGTAATCCTAGCAACTTGGGAGACTGAGGCAAGAGGATCAATTGAGCTCAAGAACTGGAGGCTACAATGAGGTATGATCACACCACTGCACTGTACTCCAGCCTTGGGGAAAGAGCAAGACCCTGTCTCAAAAAAAAAAAAAAAAAAAAAAAAAAAAAAAAAAAAGCTTTGGGAGGCCGAGGCAAGTGAATCACAAGGTCAGGAGTTCAAGACTAGCCTGGCCAAGATGGTGAGCCCCTGTCTCTACTAAACTACAAAAATTAGCTGGGCGTGGTGGCAGGCGCCTGTAATCCCAGATACTCAGGAGGCTGAGGCAGGAGAATTGCTTGAACCCAGGTGTCGGAGAGTGCAGTGAGCCGAGATTGTGCCACTGCACTCCAGCCTGGGTGACAGAGTGAGACTCCATCTTAAAAAAAAAAAAAATGCTGAGGCCCTAGAGCCACACGGAGACCGGGTCCAAATCTCCTGCCACCACTCAAGCTGCGTGTCCCTGGCTTCTTGCTTTTTGCAGCTGACCAAGCCCTCTAATCTGCAACTGGGATAATACAGCGCCTGCCTCCAGGAGGAACAGTAAGGAGTGGATGGGATGAAGCCCTCCACCCTGGCCACAGGTGGTGTCTGTGGGTGGCAGAGCTGAGATTCCCCCACCTTGGACCCCAGTGCCGACACTTGCCATTGTACCATGCCACCTCCCTGCCCCCTGAGACTGGGCCTGAGGAAGCCACAGCCCCTCCCATGTGCCCTGGCCCCTCTGGGCTCCCATGGAGGATGGTGCTGCTGGGTCACCTGCTTTGGGCTCTGCCCTCAGACTCCCTTCACCCCAAGGTGTGCCATCCTCTCCATTCCACCAAGGCCTGTCCAGGCCTCGCTTGCTTAATCCATAGTCTTCAGAGCCACCTGTCATTAGGCAGGGCAAGTGGGAGCCGCTTCATGGTGATCTTGGAGACAGATTTTCACCATCAACCACTCCCCATCAGCTCAGCTCTGAGAAGGTACAAGGTGTTTTCGTTTTGTATAATTACTATTGTGGGCCAAGTGTGGTGGTTCATGCCTGTAATCTGAGCACTTTGGGAGGCTGAGGCAGGGGATCACTTGAGGTCAGGAGTTTGAGACTAGCCGGGCCAACATGGCAAAACTCCATCTCTACTAAAAATACAAAAATTAGCTGTAAATGGTGGTGGGCACCTGTAGTTCCAGCTACTTTGGAAGCTGAGACAGAAGAATTGATTGAACCTGGGAGTTGGAGGTTGCAGTGAGCCAAGATTGTGCCATTGCATTCCAGCTTGGGTGACAGAGTAAGACTCTATCTTAAAAATAAAATAAAATTTATTTATTTTTATTTATTTTTTTTTTGCTTTAAAAATTCTTTAATTTGATACAGTCAAGACTTCATATATAACTTCTAGTTTACAGGAAATACAGGTGATATACAGGTTATACACTGGAGAAATACAGGGAAATACAACACGAAGAAAAAAATCAGATAAACCCAGAAGAAGAGTTCTAAAGAAAAATTGACCTGGTCTATCAACATGACAATGTCAAAAATGGGGGAGGGGAGACAGGAGATGGCATCTATGCTAATTTACAGAGATTAAGAAACATAACAAAGGCCGTGGTTTTTTTTTTGTTTGTTTGTTTGTTTTTTTTTTTTTTTATTGATCATTCTTGGGTGTTTCTCGCAGAGGGGGATTTCGCAGGGTCATAGGACAATAGTGGAAGGAAGGTCAGCAGATAAACAAGTGAACAAAGGTCTCTGGTTTTCCTAGGCAGAGGACCCTGCGGCCTTCCGCAGTGTTTGTGTCCCTGGGTACTTGAGATTAGGGAGTGGTGATGACACGAGCATGCTGCCTTCAAGCATCTGTTTAACAAAGCACATCTTGCACCGCCCTTAATCCATTTAACCCTGAGTGGACACAGCACATGTTTCAGAGAGCACAGGGTTGGGGGTAAGGTCACAGATCAACAGGATCCCAAGGCAGAAGAATTTTTCTTAGTACAGAACAAAATGAAAAGTCTCCCATGTCTACTTCTTTCTACACAGACACGGCAACCATCCGATTTCTCAATCTTTTCCCTACCTTTCCCCCTCTTCTATTCCACAAAACCGCCATTGTCATCATGGCCCGTTCTCAATGAGCTGCTGGGCACACCTCCCAGACAGGGTGGTGGCCGGGCAGAGGGGCTCCTCACCTCCCAGTAGGGGTGGCCGGGCAGAGGCGCCCCTCACCTCCAGGACGGGGCGGCTGGCCGGGCGGGGGCTGACCCCCACCTCCCTCCCGGACGGGGTGGCTGCCGGCGGAGACGCTCCTCACTTCACAGACGGGGTGGCTGCCGGGCGGAGGGGCTCCTCACTTCTCAGACGGGGCGGCTGCCGGGCGGAGGGGCTCCTCACTTCTCAGACGGGGCGGCCGGGCAGAGACGCTCCTCACCTCCCAGACGGGGTTGCGGCCGGGCAGAGGCGCTCCTCACATCCCAGACGGGGCGGCAGGGCAGAGGCGCTCCCCACATCTCAGACGATGGGCAGCCGGGCAGAGACGCTCCTCACTTCCTAGATGGGATGGCGGCTGGGAAGAGGCGCTCCTCACTTCCTAGATGGGATGGCGGCCGGGCAGAGACGCTCCTCACTTTCCAGACTGGGCAGCCAGGCAGAGGGGCTCCTCACGTCCCAGACGATGGGTGGCCAGGCAGAGACGCTCCTCACTTCCCAGACGGGGTGGCGGCTGAGCAGAGGCTGCACTCCCGGCACTTTGGGAGGCCAAGGCAGGCAGCTGGGAGGTGGAGGTTGTAGCGAGCCGAGATCACGCCACTGCACTCCAGCCTGGGCAACATTGAGCACTGAGTGAACCAGACTCCGTCTGCAATCCCGGCACCTCGGGAGGCCGAGGCTGGCAGATCACTCGCGGTTAGGAGCTGGAGACCAGCCCGGCCAACACAGCAAAACCCCGTCTCCACCAAAAAAATACGAAAACCAGTCAGGCGTGGCGGCGCGTGCCTGCAATCGCGGGCACTCGGCAGGCTGAGGCAGGAGAATCAGGCAGAGAGGTTGCAGTGAGCTGAGATGGCAGCAGTACAGTCCAGCTTCGGCTCGGCATCAGAGGGAGACGGTGGAAAGAGAGGGAGAGGGAGACCGTGGGGAGAGGGAGAGGGAGAGGGCAATAAAATTTATGTATATATAAATTATTATTGTTGCTGAGCAAGGTGGCTCATGCCTGTAATCCCAGCACTTTGGGAGGCCAAGGTGGGTGGATCACCTGAGGTCAGGAGTTCGAGACCAGCCTGGCCAACATGGTGAAACCCCATCTCTAGTAAAAATACAAAAATTAGCCAGGCATGATGGCAGGTACTTGGGAGGCTGAGGCAGGAGAATCACTTGAACCCGGGGTCGGGGGGTGTCAGAGGTTGCAGTGAGCTGAGATTGTGCCACTGCACTCCAGCCTGGGTGACAAGAGCGAAACTCCATCTCAAAAAAAAAATATTACTGTTGTTGGTTTTTTCTCTCTTATTATTTTTTAATTAAATTTAAAAAAGTTTTGGTCGGGTGCGGTGGCTCACCCCTGTAATGCCAGCACTTTGGGAGGCCAAGGCGGGTGGATCACAAGGTCAGGAGATCGAGACCATCCTGGCTGACACGGTGAAACCCTGTCTCTACTAAAAATACAAAAAATTAGCCGGGCGTGGTGGCGTGAACCTGTAGTCCCAGCTACTCAGGAGGCTGAGGCAGGAGGATAGCATGAACCCAGGAGGCGGAGCTTGTAGTGAGCTGAGATCGTGCCACTGCACTCCAGCCTGGGCGACAGAGCGAGACTCTCTCAAAAAAAAAAAAAAATTTTTTTTTGAGGCAGGGTCTTTGTCACCCAGGCTGGAGTGCAGTGGTGCAATCTTAGCTCACTGCAGCCTCCATCTCCTGGGCTCAAGGGATCCTCCCTCCCAATCCCCTGAGTAGCTGGGACTACAGGCAGACACCACCATGCCAAGCTCATGTTTGTTTGTTTGTTTGTTTGTTTTTGAGATGCAGTCTTGCTCTTTCGTCCAGGCTGGAGTGCAGTAGTGCGATTTCTTCCAGGCTGGAGTGCAGTGGTGTGATTTTGGCTCACTGCAAGCTCTGCCTCCCGGGTTCAAGCGATTCCCCTGCCTCAGCCACCTGAGTAGCTGGGACTACAGGCGCCCACCGCCACACCCAGCTAATTTTTGTATTTTTAGTAGAGACGGGGTTTCACCATGTTGGCCAGGCTGTCTCCAACTCCTGACCTTAAGTGATCCGCCAGCCTCGGCCTCCTAAAGTGCTGGGATTACAGGCGTGAACCTCTTCGGCCAGCCTCCCAGCTTATTTTTGTATTTTCTGTAGACACGAGGCTTTGCCCTGTTGCCCAAGCTGGTCTCCAACTCCTGAGCTCAAGTGATCCTCATGCCTCAGCCTCCCAACGTGCTGGGACTACAGGCATGAGCCACTGTACCCAGACTATTGTTTTTTACTAAAGGAGACTTACTAGAAAACTGACAAAATCCAGGCTGGGCGTGGTGGTTTACGCCTGTAATCTCAGCACTTTGGGAGGCCAGGGTGGGTGGATCACCTGAGGTCAAGAGTTTGAGACCAACCTGACCAACATGGTGAAACCCTGTCTCTACTAAAAATACAAAAATTAGCCGGGTTTGGTGGCGCACGCCTGTAATCCCAGCTACTCGGGAGGCTGAGGTAGGAGAACCACCTGAACCTGGGAGGCAGAGGTTGCAGTGAGCTGAGATCGTGCCATTGCACTCCAGCCTGGGCAACAAGAGCGAAACTCGGTCTTGGAAAACAAACAAACAAAAAAACCTGACAAAATATCAAAGATAATTATAACCCTTAGGGGTCCCAGATTTCTCTTCCTCAGGAAATGGCAAGGGGGTGCGGGAGAGGGGCCATCCGCTTTGGCTGGCTTAGTTTCCTTTCCACAACCCTTTCTGGAGAAACACTAAATGCCACCATTTTTTGGTCCTTGGCCTGGAAATTTCCCTATCTGCACCCCCTGCGCTGTAGCTTAGGCTATTCAGCAGAGATCTGCAGGCTCCAGCGGGCGTCGGACTTACAGAGGCAAATGTGACCATGTAAATTCCCAGGCCCACCCGTGACAGAGAGCCTCTGATTCAGCAGGCCTCCTTTGAGGCTGGGGATTTTAAACCCGCGTCCTGTGATTGGGATGGGGATTGAGGGCTATATTCAGCGCCTGGCCACCAGAGGGCGCAGCGGGCTGGGTTCAGCGGTACCCCTTTGAGATCTTGTGTCTCAAGACAGGTTGCTGTCATCAAGGATTTGCTGGTTAGACAACAGGCAAGGGGTGAGCTGGGTCCTCTTGGGCAGGAGCCTAGTAGGAAGACCGACAACAGGAAAGAGGCTCACATCTGATACTGGGCACATGGCTGGGCCTTGGTCCTCGTGCTCCCGGACTTCAGAGCTCAGAGGGGCCAGGGCCTGGCCTAGCCTGGAATCTGGATGGACCTCTTCTGCCCTGGGGCGCGCCGTTTACCCAATCCTGACCTCAGAGAGCGTCTGTCGTTCTGGTGGGAAAACCGAGACCCAGACAGGAACAAGGGCTCAGTGGCAACCGCTCTGCCTCCCAGCCCAGGGCTCTGTCTTGCCGGGGCTGGGGCACAGGGTGGACCCCAGGAAGTTCTGCTATGAGTCAGCTTCGAGTGCTCAGGGGACCGGACAGAGGCTGCTGGCCGGGGAAGGATGCCGGCCGGCGGTACCTACTTCCGCAGCTGTGGGTATCCCTGCCTGGTGATTCAGCTTCCCTCTGAGGGTCCCCAGGGGGCGCCGCCCTGGACTGGGAGGCTGGGGAGGATGCTGGGGCTACGGAGGGGCGATGGAGGTGCCTTAAGGGACCCCGTAATCCAGCTCTGCTGGATGCTGAGGTCCCACGAGATAATTGTGGCCAGAGATCAGGTGGGCGTAAGACTGGTCCTAGGATGGGGGCTGTGGGCCCCTCCTCACTACCCTGCTTCTTGAAGATAGCCTGGGCGGCTGTGCGGGATACCCCAGTGTCTCCAGCAATGCGCGTTCATCTCCATGGAGGGCTCGCCTTGGCGCTGGGTGGGGAGCGACTTGGTCCCCCCTGGCGGCGAAGAGAGGCTGACCACGCCAGCTCGTGGGGGGGTCTACTGGGCAGATGCGCAGGCCCCGGGCGGAGGAGGGCTGATGGGGGAAATGCCAGGCCGATGGGGGAGGGGCTGTGAGCGGGAGGCGTTGGGGCGGGGCAAGACCGCCCTCCCGGTCCGGGGGCGGGGCTTGGCCTGGGGCGGGGCTTGGCTGGGGTGCTCAGCCCAATTTTCCGTGTAGGGAGCGGGCGGCGGCGGGGGAGGCAGAGGCGGAGGCGGAGTCAAGAGCGCACCGCCGCGCCCGCCGTGCCGGGCCTGAGCTGGAGCCGGGCGTGAGTCGCAGCAGGAGCCGCAGCCGGAGTCACAGCCGCAGCCAGAGCCGCAGCCAAAGCCTCAGAGAGCAGGAGTTGGAGCGCAGGCCCTGCTGGATCCGCGCCTAGCTCGCCGCCAGGCACCGGCCGGAGGACGGGCCGTGGTGTCAGCTCACTGCCCGGGCGCTGTGGGAGGCAGCGAGCCCGCGACCCCCCGGGCCGGGCACCGCCAGGCGCGGAGCCCAGATCGCCCCCCTGCCAGGCCTGGTCACGGCCAGAGCACGCAGGAGTTCCCAGGGTCTGGATCTGCGCGCACCCTAATGACCTGGGGACTGAAGAGAAAAAAGGAACGAGGATTTCATCTAAAAGCATAACGTGGGCACTAGGCGAGGAGGAAAGTGGAGACCACCTGGCACGGGGCAGAGGTGCCTGGAGCCCACGCTTGAGCATCGGAGACCCTGGCATCCTAGCAGCCGCGACCTTGGCTCTGCCCTGTCTGAGCTGGAAACACAGCTTAGCTTCTAGACATCGCTGGCACAGGCCTGGCACAAGTAAGCAGTGTCCTCACCTGTCTGAAACGGGACACGGGGTCGGAGGAACCAGGATCTAGCCTGGCCCCAAGCGGAACTCTCTGGTGGCCCAGAGGTCGTCACTGGGGAGCCCGCCTCCTGCCCTAGCCTCACTGGTGCGGATGTGCCGCTGCCCGCCGGAGCACCATGATGGCAGGATGACCTCAGCCGAAGTAGGAGCAGCAGCTGGTGGTGCTCAGGCGGCTGGGCCCCCCGAGTGGCCCCCTGGCAGCCCTCAGGCCCTCCGGCAGCCTGGCCGGGCCCGAGTGGCCATGGCAGCACTGGTGTGGCTGCTGGCGGGAGCCAGCATGTCAAGCCTCAACAAGTGGATCTTCACAGTGCACGGCTTTGGGCGGCCCCTGCTGCTGTCGGCCCTGCACATGCTGGTGGCAGCCCTGGCATGCCACCGGGGGGCACGGCGCCCCATGCCAGGCGGCACTCGCTGCCGAGTCCTACTGCTCAGTCTCACCTTTGGCACGTCCATGGCCTGCGGCAACGTGGGCCTAAGGGCTGTGCCCCTGGACCTGGCACAACTGGTTACTACCACCACACCTCTGTTCACCCTGGCCCTGTCGGCGCTGCTGCTGGGCCGCCGCCACCACCCACTTCAGTTGGCCGCCATGGGTCCGCTCTGCCTGGGGGCCGCCTGCAGCCTGGCTGGAGAGTTCCGGACACCCCCTACCGGCTGTGGCTTCCTGCTCGCAGCCACCTGCCTCCGCGGACTCAAGTCGGTTCAGCAAAGTAAGTGCCTGGGTGGCCAATTGAGAAGGTGGGGGTCCGGGTGGGTGCATGGCCTGGATGGCCCTGTGAGGGGTATGGCTGTTGTCCCATTTTACAAATGAGGAAACTGAGGTTCATGGCTGTGGAGGAAGCAGAACTGAGGCTCAGAGAGGGCCAACAGTTCAGTGAGTTCCAGGCCCCAGACTCAGGCTCTGGAGGCCCAACTCGTGTTTATTTGTTTATTTACTTATTTAGACAGGGTCTGGCTCTGTCACCCAGGCTGCATTGGTGAGATCTCAGCTCAATACAGCCTCCGCATCCTGGGTTCAAGTGATTCTTCTGCCTCAGCCTCCCAAGTAAGTGGGACTACAGGTGCACACCACCACGCTAAGCTAATTTTTGTATTTTTAGTAGAGACAGCATTTTACCATGTTGGCCAGGCTGATCTTGAACTCCTGACCTCCCAAGGTGCTAGGATTTCAAGCGTGAGCCACCCCACCTGGTCAGCTAATTTTTTTTTTTTATAGACACAGAGTCTTGCTATGTTGCCAAGGTAGGTCTTGAACTCCTGTCCTCAGCGATCTTCCCCCCTCAGCTTCCTGAAGTTCTGGAATTACAAACCAGTATTTAGTGATAGCCAGTGATCTGTGTTTGACTAGCCTTTTATCTCACTGTATTGTTCCCATTTGATAGATGAAGAGGCTTGCCCTGGGCCACGTGGCCAGTGAGCAGCAGAGGCAAGATCTAAACCCAGATAGTCAGACTCCATGCTTCCAAGAGATGTGGCCTGAGGCTTTGGACACAAAGGAAAGCCAGAAAGCATGGGCCAGGGAGAGAAAAGGAGGGTCTGGGATGAGCTGGGATTTGGAAGGTCAGGGGTCAGGTCTAAGTCTGGGGAGGGCTGTTGTTTACTGGGAGCTACAGTGTGACAGGCTTGGTGCTGAGTGTTGACCTTGAGTTGTCATGGCAACCACCAACTTTATCCCCATTTTACAGATGATGGGACTAAGACCCAGAGAAGTTCATGATTTGACAGGCTGGGCATGGTATCTCATGCCTGTAATCCCAGCACTTTGGGAGGCTGAGGTGGGAGGACTCTTGAGACCAGGAGTTCGAGACCACCCTGGCCAACATGGTGAAACCCTGTATCTATTAAAAATACAAAAATTGGGGCCGGGCGCGGTGTCTCATGCCTGTAATTCCAGCACTTTGGGAGGCTGAGGCGGGTGGATCATGAGGTCAGAAGTTCAAGAACAGACTAACCAAGGTGGTGAAACCCCATCTCTACTAAAAATACAAAAAAATTAACCGGGCGCCATGGCAGGTGTCTGTAATCCCAGCTACTCGGGAGGCTGAGGCAGGAGAATAGCTTGAACCCGGGTGGCAGAGGTTGCAGTGAGCCAAGATCGCCCCACTGCACTCCAGCCAAGGCGACAGAGTGAGACTCCATCTCAAAAAAAAAAAAAAAAAAAAAAAAATTGGGCCAGGCGCAGTGGCTCACAGCTGTAATCCCAGCACTTTGGGAGGCCGAGGCAAGTGGATCACCTGAGGTCAGGAGTTCGAGACCAGCCTGGCCAACATGGGGAAACCCTGTCTCTACTGAAAATACAAAAATTAGCTGAGCGTGATGGTGGGCGCCTGTAATCCCAGCTACTCAGGAGGCTGAGGTGAGAGAATCGCTTGAACCTGGGAGGCGGAGGTTGCAGTGAGCTGAGATCACGCTATTGCACTCCAGCCTGGGTAACAAGAGTGAAACTCTGTCTCAAAATTAGCCGGGCCAGGTGGCATGCACCTGTAATCCCAGCTACTGGGGAGGCTGAGGCATAAGAATTCCTTGAACCCGGGAGAAGGAGGTTGCAGTGAGCTGAGATTACACCACTGCACTCCAGCCTGGGCGACAGAATGAGACTCTGTCTCAAGAAAAAGAAAGAAGTTCAGCCCAGCGCAGTGGCTCACACCTGTAATCCCAGCACTTTGGGAGGCTGAGGTGTATTGGGGGAAATTCAGCCAGATATCGGGCGAAATTCACCCCTGATATTTCACGTAGGTTCTTTTCTGTATTACCTAAGTGTCAGCTGGTCTGAGAAATAAAGGGACAGAGTACAAAAGGGAGAAATTTTAAAGCTGGGTGTCCGGGGGAGACATCATATGTCGGCAGGTTCCGTGATGCCCCCTGAGCCATAAAACCAGCAAGTTTTGATTAGTGATTTTCAAAAGGGGAGGGAGTGTACCAATAGGATGTGGGTCACAGAGACCACGTGCTTCACAAGGTAATAGAATATCACAAGGCAAATGGAGGCAGGGCCAGATCACAGGACCATAGGACCGGGGTGAAATTAAAATTGCTAATGAAGTTTCGGGCACGCATTGTCATTGATAACATCTTATCAAGAGACAGGGTTTGAGAGCAGACAACCAGTCTGACCAAAATTTATTAGGCGGGAATTTCCTCGTCCTAATAAGCCTGGGAGCGCTATGGGAGACTGGGGCTTATTTCATCCCTACAGCTTCGACCATAAAAGATGGCCGCCCCCCAGAAGCAGCCATTTTAGAGGCCTACCCTCAGGGACGCATTCTCTTTCTCAAGGATGTCCCTTGCTGAGAAAAAGAATTCAGCAACATTTCTCCCATTTGCTTTTGAAAGAAGAGAAATATGGCTCTGTTCCACCCGGCTCACCGGCAGTCAGAGTTTAAGATTATCTCTCTTGTTCCCTGAACATTGCTGTTATCCTGTTCTTTCAAGGTGCCCAGATTTCATATTGTTCAAACACACATGCTCTACAATTTGTGCAGTTAACGCAATCATCACAGGGTCCTGAGGCGACATACAGCCTCCTCAGCTTACGAAGATGATGGGATTAAGAGATTAAAGATAGGCATAGGAAATCACAAGGGTATTGGTTGGAGAAGTGATAAGTGTCCATGAAATCTTCACAATTTATGTTCAGAGATTGCAGTAAAGACAGGCGTAAGAAATTACAAAAGTATTAATTTGGGAAACTAATAAATGTCCATGAAATCTTCACAATCCACGTTCTTCTGCAATGGCTTCAGCTGGTCCCTCCGTTTGGGGTCCCTGACTTCCCGCAACAGAGGTGGGAGGATCACGAGGTCAGGAGATCAAGACCATCCTGGCCAACGTGGTGAAACCCTGTCTACTAAAATTACAAAAATTAGCTGGGCGTGGTGGCGCCTGCCTGTAATCCCCCCTACTCGGGAACCTGAGGCAGGAGAATCACTTGAACCCAGGAGGCAGAGGTTGCAGTGAGCCGAGATCACGCCACTGCACTCCAGCCTAGGGACAGAGCTAGACTCCATCTCAAAAAAAAAAAAAAAAAGAAGAAAGAAAGAAAGAAGTTCATGATTTGCACAGAGGTCACGGGGTCCCTAATGATGTGAAGCATGGTCTATGTGACTCCAGATGCTGGCTCTGATGAAAGAGGGCAGCAGGGCTCTGGGCAGTTTAGGGCCGAGGCTCCAGGCCCAGACCCACTAGATCATTCTGCCTGAGGGCGAAGGCTGGCTTCCTGCCTTTCCTACTGAGGGGCATCTGAGTCGCAGCCTCTATCCTCTCTCTGCCTCAACCCAAGGAGACATAGGGGAGGCCAGGGTGCCCACTCAGGGTGGGGAGGCCTGGGTTCCAGCCATACCTTTGCTCATATTTGCTGGGCAACCTTGGGCATATTGGGATTTTATCTGGGCCTCAGTTTCCTCATCTGTCAGTGGAGGAGAGTTGGAGTTGATGGAGTCCAAGGGGCCTCTTGCTCTCCCTTCGCCCTGAGATCCTGTGACCCAGGCCTGGGAGAAGGAAGTGGGCACACCAAGAGTGCTGGGCTGGGATTGATGACAGCCCACAGCCAGGGAAGATTGAAGTCAGAGTTCAGCCCTGCCCTGGCGTATTCAGAGCTGACACAGAGGCCCTATCTCTATCCTCCCTGGCTCCAAGGCAGGGTCAAAACCCAGTTCTATTTTTTGCCCTCAGGTTACATGAGAGCTAGAGGCTGAGCACAGGCATGAGCTCTGGGCATGAGTCTGCACTGGGAAACCTGACCTGTGGGCACCCCTGTGCAGGCCACAGGGCTGTGAAGGTCCTAACCTCAAGGCCCATGCTGCCCCTGCTGAGAAAGAGTCAGTGCTTCTCACACTGGGACCCAGGCAGCCCCAGCCTGCAGGAGGGGCAATGGCCGGCCAGGCCTCAGGCACTTGGGCATGGAGTGGCATGTGCCTGGCATCGGGCTGCATCTTGACTCCTGCCAGCTCCCTCCTTCCCTCCCTCCCTAGTCTTAACTCCTGACCCCTGGGAGGTTGAGTCCTTGCTCTGGGCTCCTGCGGTATCCTCTGCTCCCCCTATCATGGTTCCAAATGCCATGTATGATCACCACCTGGTTACCTGTCTGCTGCCTGCCAGACAGATTTGGGGCAATTCTATGTTCCTGGAACCTAGCCCTGGGGCCTTGCAGAGGATACATAATTTGTAAATTATAATTTTTAAATTTTATTTTATTATTTTTTTTTTTGAGACAATCTCTCTCTGTCGCCCAGGCTGGAATGCAGCAGTGCAATCTCAGCTCATTGCAACCTCTGCCTCCTGGTTTCAAGCAATTCTTGTGCCTCAGCCTCCTGAGTAGCTGGGACTACAGGCTCATGCCACCGTCCTGGCTAATTTTTAATTTTTTTTTTTTTTTTTTTTTTTTTTTAGAAACAGGCTCACTATGTTGCCCAGGCTGGTCTCAAACCCCTGGCCTCAAGTGATCTTCCCTCCGGGCCTCCCAAAGTGCTGGAATTACAGGTGTGAGCCAACATGCCGACAGATTTACTGATGGCTCTGACAGGCGAGCTGATCTCATAGACTGGTTGGGCTGCCTGATTCAGGAGGGAGTTTAGGGGGCTAGAGGCCCCACTAACAGAGATAGGAGCCCTGCAGAGATGGGGAGGAACAGACTTGAGCCAGGGCCTGAGATAGGCTTTTTTTGCTTGTTTGTTTGTTTGTTTATGAGAGGGTCTTGCTCTGTCATCCAGGCTGGAGTGCAGTGGCTCACTGCGGCCTCAATTTCCCAGGCTCGGGCAATCCTCCCACCTCAGCCTCCCGAGTAGCTAGGACTATAGGCGTGCCTCCATGCCCAGCTAATTTTTGTATTTTTTGTAGAAATGGGGTTTCATCATGTTGCCCAGGCTGGTCTCCAACTCCTAGACTCAAGTGATTTACCCACCTCGGCCTAAAGTGCTGGGATTACGGGCATGAGCCACCACACCCAGCCTGAGATAGGTTTTGAACAAAAGGTTTCTACTGCAGGAGGCTCCAGGAGAGGCACCAGGGCCAGATTCAGACGTGAGTGTACGTGGCTGATGCCAGCTCCATTCCTGAGAGCAGAGTTTGTGGGAGCAGAGGGCAAGTATCCAGAAAGAAGGCTGGGCATGGTGGCTCACGCCTGTAATCCCAGCACTTTGGGAAGCCAAGGCAGGCAGCTCACTTGAGGTCAGGAGTTCGAGACCAGCCTGGCCAGCATGGTGAATCCCCGTCTCTACTAAAAATACAAAAAAAATTAGCTGGGCATGCTGGTGCATGCCTGTCATCCCAGCTACTCGGGAGGCTGAGGTAGGAGAATCTCTTGAACCAGGGAGGCGGAGGTTGCAGTGAGCCGAGATATCACACCATTGCACTCTAGCCTGGGCAACATCTCAAAAAAAAAAAAAAAAAAGGCCAGGCACGGTGGTTCACACCTGTAATCCCAGCACTTTGGGAGGCCAAGGTGGGTGGATCATGAGGTCAGGAGATTGAGACCATCCTGGCTAACACAGTGAAACCCCGTCTCTACTAAAAAATACAAAAAAATAGCCAGGTGTGGTGGTGGGCACCTGTAGTCCCAGCTAGTCGGGAGGCTGAGGCAGGAGAATGGCGTGAACCCGGGAGGCGGAGCTTGCAGTGAGCCCAGATAGCGCTACTACACTCCAGCCTGGGCGACAGAGTGAGACTCCGTCTCAAAAAAAAAAAAAAAAAAGTATCCAGAAAGAGGAGAGCCCAGGCAGCTGTTGGCAGGGCCAGCGACTTCCCTCCTTCTTGGGCCAGTTGTAGGCCCAGGGAGCCTGCACAAGGAGAGGGGTTATGCCATCCTCCTACCCACAGAAAGGGTGGGAAGTGGGGCGCCAGCCTGCTGAGCTTGCTCTCAGCTGGACTCCCCCGCCCGTCCGCATCACAGAGCAGGCGGACTCAACCCCTCTGAGCTCTCAGGCTGATGGGGGAGATGCACTCAGATATAGAGATCATGATGGCAGAAAAGAAGTTCTAGAGTCAAAGTGGTCACACGTGTTGGGGAGCGGTTGCTTCTTCCTGGGGAGCGCTGAGAAGGCTATCTAGGGGAAGAGACATGCAATGATGATGACAATAATGTAACCATGAGAGCAAACATTTGTTGGGGCCTCCCTAGGTGCCCACACCATGCCCAGCTCTTCATACTGAAGGAGGAGGAAAGGGTGATCTGGGAATGGGAAACAGGCCGTGCCAGGGCACAGGGTGTCAGCCAGCAGGAGCAGGGTGTGGGGATCATGCCAGCTGCCGGGGTGAGCCGGCATCAAGGACATCACACAGGGCATCAGGCCCTGTGTTCAGCACCTCACATGTGAGGGGGCTGTTGCTACCCGAGCCACACGACTTAAGGAGACTGAGGCGTGGAGAGAGGGAGACAGTATCACACAGCCCGTGAAAGAGCAAAAGGGCCAAGCCAATAGCAAGCAGACAGGGTTTAGAGAAGGGTCAGCTGTTGTCTGCATGTGGCAGAAACTTGGGCATGTTCCAATAGAAGGAGAGGTGGCAATGAGGCAGGACAAACAGGCTGACATTTTGGGGTCCCCAGGTAGAAGCCAGTCACCGCCTCTGACAGCGAATGGCTGCCCTTTCCCTGGGCTGCAGGGAGGGGAGGTGGAGGATTGGGTGGGATGTACAATAGGTGTGAGGAGATGGGTGGGAAGTTTAGGACCTTCCTGCCTGGCTGCCTTGCAGAGGGTGAAATTTACCAAAGGTGAAGTTCACCTGAAAACCCAACCGCCTTCTTGTGATGGGACGTTTAATGTGCAAGCCACAGGTAGCTCATAACACTGTTAACTTTCGAGCCTGCGAGCAGGAGGCATTCTGATTATCTGTTCATTTCTAGAAACGCTTGAGCCAGAGGGACTGTTTGTTGCCTAGAGAACAAAGCTAAAACATCGGAATGAAATTGAGAGAGAAATAAAATTTCCTATTCTAAGCATAGCCTATGAGTAAGCATCTCTGTGGCTTTTTGGAAAGTGTGTGTCAGAAAATGCATAGAGGCTCACAGAGGCCTGGGAGGGGACCTGTGTCGACTACTCATCTCTCTCCACTAACTTGGCAAAGGCCCCATGCCATCATTGCCCTCATGCAAATAATGTCATTTCAGCCAGGCGCAATGGCTCACACCTGTAATCCCAGCACTTTGGGAGGCCAAGCTGAGCAGATTGCTTGAGTCTAGGAGTTTGAGACCAGCCTGGGTGAACCAGATGACGAAACCCCATCTCTACAAAAAATACAAAAATTTTCAGGGGTGATGGTGCATGCCTGTAGCCCCAGCTACTTGGGAGGCTGAGAAGGGAGGATCGCTTGAGCTCGGAAGGCAGTAAACTGACATCGTACCACTACACTCCAGCCTGGGCAAGAGAACCAGACCCTGTCTCAAATAATAATAATAATGTCATTTCGCCTGGGCAAGAGAACCAGACCCTGTCTCAAATAATAATAATAATGTCATTTCGCCTGGGCACCCCTTTGTGAATTGGCTGGTGGTGGCATGTGTACACGTAGGTACACACAGATACACAGTCACACATAGGCAAAGCAGCAAGATCCCCTCCTGCCTTACAAAGTGAAAAGGTTTCCTCTTAGTCCTGGATTCATCTTGACAAGCCACAGTATTAGCAGGAAAAAAAAAAGATGCTGATTATCAGTTATAAACAGTGAGTGAGAGCCAAGATCCCACAATGACCTTTTGTCCCCTTGTCACTCCAGTGGTCATAAGTGAATGAGGCAATGAATGGGTCACACTTTTGACCCAATTTATTATTTTCTTTTATAAACTCTTCTTTTTTAATGCAAAGGCCCCCATGTGGCTAGTAAGTGGCAGAGCTGGGACCCTCTGCTGGCCTGCCCTTTCATGGTGGCTGGAACTGCAGTGTGGGAGTGATAGGGGCTGAGGCGGGAAAGGTGGTTGGGGCCAGTTGATGCAGAGTCTTCGAAGCTGGGTGAAGAACCCTGGGCTGGGTGCACTGGCTCAACGCCTGTAATCCCAGCACTTTGGGAGGCCGAGGTGGGAGGATCACCTGAGGTCAGGAGTTCGAGACCAGCCTGGCCAACATGGCGAAACCCCGTCTCTACTAAAAATACAAAAATTAGCCAGTTGTGGTGGCGCATGCCTGTGATCCCAGCTACTTGGGAGACTGAGGCAGGAGAATCACTTGAACCTGGGAGGCAGAAGTTGCAGCAAGCCGAGATCATTCCACTGCATTCCAGCCTGGGCAACAGAGCAAGACTCTGTCTCCAAAAAAAAAAAAAAAAAAAAAAAGAACCTAGGACCTTCAGGGCCAGGGCAGCCCCTGAAGATTTATTTTTATTTTTTAGAGACAGGGTCTTGCTCTGGTCATTGAGGTGGAGTGTAGTAGCATCATCATAGCTCACTGTAGCCTTCCTCTGGGCTCAAGTGATCCTCCTGCCTCAGCCTCTCAAAGTGCTGGGATTACAGGCATAAGCCACTGTACCTGACCGATTTTTTTTTTTTTTTTTTTAAGACAGGGTCTCGCTCTGTTGCCCAGGCTGGAGTGCAGTGGTGCAATTTTGGCTCACTGCAACCTCCACCTCCTGAGCTCAAGATCCTCCTGCCTCAGCCTCCTGAGTAGCTGGGACTAAAGGCACGTGCCACCACTCCCAGCTAATATTTGTATTGTGTAGAGGCAGGGTTTTATCACGTTGCCCGGGCAGGTCTCAAACTCCTGGGCTCAAGCGATCCGCCCTCCCAAAGTGCTGGGATTACAGGCATGAGCCACCACACCCAGCCTTTGTAATGTTTTTTGAGCCACTTAGTCTTCATGCTTATTGATCATTTAGATATCCCAAGCATATCATTGTTTCAGCTCGTGGGAGGCAGTTTGAAGTGGCTGATAACAGACTTATTTATTTTAGTTTAGTTTTTTATATTTACTGAGCATTTCCCATTTAAGGGCTTTATGTATGCCGTCTTTTAAAATGTTTACAACAACCCGTGATTAGGTTTTATTATTACCCAACTCTCCAGGTGAGGAAACTCAGGCTTACGGAGGTTAAGTGCCTCTCATGAGCCCAGGTCACAGCTACTCAGGGGTGGACACAGGTCACAAACCCAGGTGGTCTGACTCCAACTCTTGACTGTCATGTTTCAGATCAGGAGCCACTAGCCCTGCCCGAGGGGTCCGGGTAGGCTTCTTGGAGGATCGGCCATAGGGGTCATACTGGGGTGGCTGGAGGGGGTTGTGTCCTTCTGGGTGCTCATGGCGGTTGTCCTGTTGCAGGTGCCCTGCTGCAGGAGGAGAGGCTGGACGCGGTGACCCTGCTTTACGCCACCTCGCTGCCCAGCTTCTGCCTGCTGGCGGGTGCAGCCCTGGTGCTGGAGGCTGGCGTTGCCCCACCGCCCACTGCTGGCGACTCTCGCCTCTGGGCCTGCATCCTGCTCAGCTGCCTCCTGTCTGTTCTCTATAACCTGGCCAGCTTCTCCCTGCTGGCCCTCACCTCTGCCCTCACCGTCCACGTCCTGGGCAACCTCACCGTGGTGGGCAACCTCATCCTGTCCCGGCTGTTGTTTGGCAGCCGCCTCAGTGCCCTCAGCTACGTGGGCATCGCACTCACTCTTTCAGGAATGTTCCTTTACCACAACTGCGAGTTCGTGGCCTCCTGGGCTGCCCGTCGGGGGCTGTGGCGGAGGGACCAGCCCAGCAAGGGTCTTTGAGACCTGGGGGATCTCAGGAGCCACCTGGGATGGCCCTGGCCTGAATCCAGCCTCCGCTGTGGCCATAGAAGGAATGGAGAACAGGGCTGGGCATGGTGGCTCACGCCTATAATCCCAGCACTTCCAGAGTCCGAGGTGGGTGGATCACCTGAGGCCAGGAGTTCGAGACCAGCCTGGCTAACATGGCAAAACCTCATCTCTACTAAAAATAGAAAAATTAGCTGGGCATGGTGGCGCGTGCCTATAGTCCCAGCTACATGGGAGGCTAAGGTGGGAGGATCACTTGAGCCCTGGAGATCGAGGCTGCAGTAAGCCAAGATCGCATGCTACTGCACTCCAGCCTGGGAGACAGAGCGAGACGCTGTCTCAATTAAAAAAAAAAAAAAGTGGAGAACTGGCAGTGACCTCTACTGGGGGCCATGGCAGGGAGGGGAGCCTTCTGGAAGGGCTGCCTTGGAGATTGGAATGGGGACTCCCAGGGAGACCTGCGTTCCATCCCTGCCTGCCTCACCCCTGCCACAGACTCTGCACACCACTGGATGGTGGGTCCAAGCCTGGCACAGTCCCTGTGCTTGTCAGAGTCATTATTATGATTAATATCAATTACGATGCCAAAAATTGCTGGGCAAACTTTGAAGACCTCAACTTGTTACAATGACGATGATGATGATTCTTGGCGGTTACACAATCCTTCCTCCTGGGGGGGAGGCAGCTAGGAGGCCCAGCAGGGGGGCTTCTATGCTGCTGGGCTCCCCTAGGGAGTTGGGGTAGTCTGTGCCAACTCCAGGCAGCTGCTGTGGCCTCACCCCTGGGCCCCCCAATTTTGGGTCATCCATCCTCAAATACACTATTTTTGCTTGTATGCCTGTGTCATTTGTTGGTTGTACAGAGGGGATATAGGGAGAGTGGTAGGCTTCCCACACAGAAACTAGGACATCCTCCCTTACCCATCGCAGTCTGTCTGGCCCCCCACCCCGAGCCCAGTGCCATTCCCTCAAATCCCTCCACTGGCTGGGCTACCATTGCCCATCTTCTGGACAGTGGCAGTGGCCTCCCCCTTGCTCTGCCTGGCCCCTCTACTCCATCTTACACACAGACCCCTTCACCCAGAGGGATCTCACTAAAACGTGCACATTCTGATGTTCCTCACTGCTCTTGGGACAAAGTCAGAATTTCCTACCCCAGACCCCAACTCACTCAGGACGTGGCACCTGCAGCCTCACCCAGCTTGTCTCCCTTCCCCTGGGCTCTGCCTTCCAGCCTCACCGACTTCTTTCAGTTCCCCGTGATACCAGGCCTGCTCACTGAAACCTTTGTACATGCTGTTCCCTCCGTCCAGTCCCCGCTTCCTACAACAACCTCCTCCCTTCCCACAGCTTAAACCCCTGCCTGGAGGAGAAAACCCAAACATGCAACTCTTTTTAAAAAGAGAAATCCAGGCCGGGCGCGGTGGCTCACACCTGTAATCCCAGTACTTTGGGAGGCCAAGGCGGGCGGATCACCTGATGTCAGGGGTTCGAGACCAGCCTGGCCAACATGCTGAAACACCGTCTCTATTAAAAATACAAAAAAATTAGCCAGGCCTGCTGGCGTGCACCTGAGGCAGGAGAATCGCTGGAACCCAGGAGGCAGAGGTTGCAGTGAGCCGAGATTGTGCCACTGCACTCCAGCTTGGCCAACAAGACCGAAACTCCATCTCAAAAAAGAAAAGAAAAATCCAATCGCTTGAGGCCAGGAGTTGGAGGCTGCAGTGCACTATGATCATGCCACTGCACTCCAGCCTGGGTGACAGAGCAAGACCCTATCTCTTTCAAAAAAAAAAAGGGCTGATGAGGGTCTTGACAAGGGACTGTGCTCAGGAGGCTTGCAGGGGTATAGGGGAGCAGGGCTCCCATGTAGGGAACCTAAGACAGGAGTCCCAACCCCCAGAGCTCCCTGACTCGCCAGCTGGCGTCAGCTTTGTTATTTACCTCTGAGCCTTTCCTTGGCTCTTGTAACACCTAACTCTCCCCAGCCAGCTACCTCTCCTGGAGATCACCTGTTAAAGATGATAAGGACCCAGTTGGAGTGAGAACACCTGGAACCTAATCCTGCTCTGCCCACCTGACTGGGAGCCTCCCTTCCCTAGGCCTCAGCTTCCAGATCTGCAAAATGGAACTGATGATCCCTATGGAGAGGGTTCGAATGAGGAGCGCTGGGCAGGGCCAGGAGTGAGGAAGGAGGTAATGGCACCAACTGGCTCTGCTTTTATCTTGGGGTATTCACCCAACCTTTCTGGAAACCATCTGCAAAATGTCTCCCATTTGTGTGAGGACTAGGAGCTAGACCAGGCTGGGGCTGTGGTCTATGGAGACTGAGATTCAGGGAGGAATCATTCAGATTCAGTAACCAGAATTCGTAAGGGACCACAGTGCCAGCAAGTGCTAGACAGGGCTGAGTAAAGGGCCAGCCCACGGCGGGGTGGGAGTGGGTAGGGAAGGCCTAGGAGGACCGGTATGGGGTTTCCTGGTTCCAGCCTCCGCCCAGGCTGCCTTACAGAAGGGGAAGTCGGCCTGGGCTGAGTCACCTGTCACCCACCCTCTCTATGACTCAGAGATGCCGCTGGCCCAGCCCAGTCCCTGAGCAGCTTGGGTACCTCTGGCCTCCACTCTCAGGCTTTGCCAGGCAGGATGGAGGGATGGATGGCTGTGGTCAAATCCTCCTCGGTGACTCAGGACCCTTTCCCATCCAACTGGCCCCCACTGCCATAGCAGGGACCTCCCTGTACCACCCTCATTTCTAGGCCTTGTGGGATGCTTGGCTAATGAGTGAGCCTCACATCAGATTAAAGCCTGCCCCTGGTGGTTGTGGGGACAGGTAATTGGGGTTGTGTGTGACCTGGGAGCTGGTTTGTCACCAGATTCAGGACCATTAGACATTGAGGTGATTCCCCCAAGGCCACAGCCAAAGCCATGCCTATCACCCCTCCCAGCAGTGGGCACAGAGAGCGCTGGATTGGGAGTCAAAAAGCTTGGGTTTGGTGGGATGTGGTGGCTCACGCCTGTAATCCCAGTACTTTGGGAGTCCGAGGGGGGCGGATCACCTGAAGTCAGGAGTTCAAGACCAGCCTGGCCAACATGGTGAAACCCCGTCTCTACTAAAAATACAAAAATTAGCTGGGCATGGTGGCAGCCGCCTGTAATCCCAGCTACTTGGGAGGCTGAGGCAGGAGAATCGCTTGAACCTGGGAGGCGGAGGTTGCAGTGAGCCGAGATCATGCCATTGCACTGTAGCCTGGGGGACAAGAGCAAGACTTCGTCTCAAAAAAAAAAAAAATTAGACGGACATGGTGGTGGGGACCTGTAATCCCAGCTACTCGGAAGGCTGAGGCAGGAGAATCGCTTGAGCCTAGGAGGCAGAGATTGCTGTGAGCCAAGATTACGCCACTGCACTCCAGCTTGTGTGACAGAATGAGACTCCATCTCAAAAAATAAACAAAAATAAAAAAGAACAGGGGCTCTGGAGTTTGACTTGTGCTCGAATCCTGGCTTTGGTACATCTGAGCTCTGTGACCTTGCACAAGGTCCTCTCCACCTGTGCCTCTGTGCATTGAGTGGGGGCAGCAGTGGAACCTAATCCCCCACCAGCTTCTGGAGCTGTAATGGACAAAGGCCTAGGAAGGCCTCAGTCTTATCACAGATGCTTCCACTTCCTCCTCAAGGCTTCTCGTGTTATCTGCCCCACCCCTCCTCAGCCTGCCAGAGCACATTTGAGAGTCCCCCAGGCATGCTCCCGCCTGAGCATAGCAGCGTGGATGCCAAGCCTCCAGCCCCCTTGTCCTGCTTTGGAGGAAGCCTGGGAAGCTGGGTCTGTGCTGGGCATCCTGCCATTGTGGACTTCGAAACAAAGACCTGTCTCAGGCCTAGCTGCCTGGTGCCCCTTCTACCCTCCCCTGGTGGCCCTTGGATTGGCATTCCAGGGGGCCAGGGCAAACAAGGATTGTGAGTCCTTGTTTGGCCTGGCCCCCTGGAAGGAGTAGCTCCTTCATGCTACTCTGCCCTCAAATTAGCTCAGGGATGTCAAATCCTCCACCACTGCACTAAATAACTTCCTGGAAGTAGCACAAAATACTTAATTGAGGGCCACTTAATGGAGGACCACGAGAGGTTTTGAGCCATGATCTTTTATTTCTTTTCTTTTCTTTTTTTGAGACAGAGTTTCGCTCTGTCGCCCAGGCTAGAATGCAGTGGTGCAATCTTGGCTCACTGCAACCTCTGCCTCCCAGGTTCAAGTGATTCTTCTGCCTCAGCCTCCTGAGTAGCTGGGATTACAGGCATATGCCACCACACGTGGCTAATTTTTGTGTGTGTGTGTGTGTGTGTGTGTGTGTATATATATATATATATATATATATATATTTTTTTTTTTTTTTTTTTTTTTTTTTTTTTTGGTAGAGATGGGGTTTCACCATGTTACCCAGACTGGTCTTGAACTCCTGACCTCAAGAAATCCACCTGCCTTGGCCTCCCAAAGTGCTAGGATTACAGGCGTGAGCCACTGCGCTTGGCCAAAATAAACATTTCTTGATAAGTAGACCTTCAATTTAGTCTGGACCCTATGTAGAGAAAAAATTGGAGGGGCTCAAGACAGGAGGCAGGAAGACTAGGGAAGACCTGTTGTTGTGGTCTAGGTAACTCCATGACAGTGGGGACAGTGCTAGGGCAGAGTGGGTATCGGTTGTATTGATTTAGAGTAACAATTTATCTCAAAATCTTATGGCTTAGAGCAACAAACATGTAGTATCTCACAGTTTCAGTGGATCAGGAATTCGGGAGTGGCTTAGTGGGTTGGTTCTGGTTGAGTTTCTCATTAAGTTGTAGTCAAGATGTTGGTCTGAGCTTCAGTCATCTGAAAGCTTGGCTGGGGCTGGAGGATTTGTGGCCCCCCAGTGGGTTCACTTTGCCCACTGCCTAGACAAAGCTGATTTATCAAGACAGGGGAACTGCAATAGAGAAAGAGTAATTCACACAGAGCCTGGTGTGCAGGAGACCAGAGTTTTACTATTACTGAAATCAGTCTCCCCGACCATTCAGGGAGCAGAGTTTTAAGGACAACTTGGTGGGTTGGGGGAAGCCAGTGAGACAGGAGTGCTGATTGGTCAGGGATGAAATCACAGGATGTTGAAGCTGTTTTCTAGTGCCCAGTCAGTTCCTGGGTGGGGGCCACAAGATCAGACGAGCCAGTTTATCAATCTGGGTGGTGCCAGCTGATCCATCAAGGGCAGGGGCTGCAAAATATCACAAGCACTGATCTTAGGAGCAGTTTAGGGAAGGTCAGAATCTTGCAGCCTCCAGCTGCATGACTCCTAAGCCATAATTTCTAATCTTGTGGCTAATGTTAGTCCTATATAGGCAATCTAGTCCCTAGGCAAGAAAGAGGTCTGCTTTGGGAAAGGGCCATTATCATCTTCATTTTAATCTATAAACTATAAACTAAGTTTCTCCGAATGTTAGTTCAGCCTATGCCCAGGAATGAATAAAGACAACTTGGAGATTAGAAGCAAGATGGAGTCAATTAAGTTAGATCTCTTCCACTGTATCAGTCACAATTTTGCAAAGGCGGCTTCAGATTTACATTCAAAATGGGGCATTCACGTGGCTGTTGGCAGGAGGCCTCAGTTCCTTGCCATGTGGGCTTCTCCATAGGGCCCCTTGAGTGTCCTCAACACATAGTAGTTGGTGTCCACCAAAGTGAGTGATTCAAGAGAACAAGAAACCACAAAGTCCTTTTAAATCTGATCTCAAAAGTCACACTCTGTCATTTCTCCAGTATCTTATTGGTTACAAGTCTATTTAGTGTGAGCCCTTCCCACATTGACTACACAAAGGCAGGATTACCAGGAAGATGGGATTACTGAGGACATCTCTGAGGCTAGCTACCATATCAGTGAATATCTATTGAATGAGTGATTGAGGACGTGAGGACATAACCTGGAGCCCTATGAGGAATTAGCCTGGGAGTATTCTGTTCTGGGTGGGGTCTTGTCAGCCACACCTCTGCATCCTCCCTAACCAAGTATTGCACAGTCCTGGCCCACAGCATGCACTTAGTAAATGCTTGCTCAGTGAGGGCTGGTGGCTGCCTTCTGTGCTCCCCACCACTGGCAGGTCAAGGCCTGGGCTCCCTGGCCTGGTATTTGAAGCCCTGGATGTTCTGACGTTTCCAAGCCTACCCCCACTGCCCTGAACCCTTCGGCTATTGGGGGGCCACCCTGTTCTCTATGCCTGCTGAAGTTTTTCAGTGTCTAGGTCTCCTGCTGCCCTATCCCGACTGCCACAACCCTCATGTGCCCCCTTCCTCCTTCTTTTTTTTTTTTTTTGAGACAGAGTCTTGCTCTGTCACCCAGACTGGAGTGCAGTGGTGCGATCTCGGCTCACTGCAACCTCCGCCTCCTGGGTTCAAGCGATTCTCCTGCCTCAGCCTCCTGAGTAGGTGGAACTACAGGTGCACACTACCATGCCCGGCTAATTTTTTTGTATTTTAGTAGAGACTGGGTTTCACCATGTTGGCCAGGCTGGTCTCGAACTCCTGATCTCAAGTGACCCGCCCCCCCTCGGCCTCCCAAAGTGCTTGGGATACAGCCCTGAGCCACCACGCCTGGCCGCCTCCCTTCTCTAAGCACTGCCAGCATCCCAGCTGTACCTGCTGCCTAGGCTGGGAATTTCTGTTTGTATGTTTAGACTTTCTTTGGAGGAGAACCCTTGTTAGGCTGGAGCCCAAAATCAATCAAGCCAAAGCACAGTTCCCTGTTTTTATTTATTTACATATTTATTTATTTATTGAGGAGTAAACAGTCTTTATTGGGCTCACAGCAGGAGTCCATGGGTCTTGAGGACACCCCAGTATTTGTCAGTTTCCTTCTCCACGTTCTTTTCGGCCTGTTTCTGTAGCCTCATTAGCTGTTTTGTTTTTTTGTTTTTTTTTTTTGAGACGGAGTCGCACTCTGTCGCCCAGGCTGGAGTGCAGTGGCGCGATCTCGGCTCACTGCAAGCTCCGCCCCACGGGTTCACGCCATTCTCCTGCCTCAGCCTCCCAAGTAGCTGAGACTACGGGCGCCCGCCACCACGCCCGGCTATTTTTATTTTTTATTTTTTTAGTAGAGACTGGGTTTCACCATGTTAGCCAGGATGGTCTCAATCTCCTGACCTCCTGATCTGCCCGCCTCCGCCTCCCAAAGTGCTAGGATTACAGGCGTGAGCCACCGCGCCCGGCCATCCCATGAGCTGTTTCTTATTCTGGTAGTGGATCTTGGCCTTCTCCTTCCTCTTCTCCTCCAGGGTGGCTGTCACTGTCTGGTACTTCCAGCCAACTTTGTGATCCAGCTGCCCCAGGTAGGCAAACTTTCTTGTAGGCTTCAGATGCACAACCTGGAGGGCAGCAGGAACCACCACCTGCTTTTTCGTCATAGGGTGGTGGGATGCCGTTAAACACCTTGAGGCGGTCTTGGGCGGCCTGGCTTCCTTGGTCTCGCGGGGCAGCATGCCTCGGGGTCCGCCAGAAGATGCGGCTGGGGACCCGGAAGTGGTGGGGGCCCAGAAGTGGTAGGTGCCTCGGGAAGGGTTGCTGTTCATCCACTTGTGGAGGAAGGCCAGGTACTTCAACTTCTTTCTATAGACATTGCCAGAAATACTGATGCCCCCGCAGTGTACGACCACCACCTTCCGGCCTGCTTAGCCACCATGGCCCTCAGGAAGCCCAGGAGATAGCTTTGACCATTGAGCACCGGGACCTGCCCCTCTGCCATCTTCGGCAGCCGCCTGGGAAAGGAGTTCCCTATTTTTAGATGAAACAGGGAAGGGCATGGGGCCCCTTCACCCCTGAGGTACCTCTGCCAGATTTCCCTGGAACCCTGTTTGAAAACCACAGATCTAGTTCAATCCTCGTTGTCCATATGAGGAAACTGAAGCCCAAAGAATAGAAAGAACCAAGACGACCTTGTGCAGAGGGAGCAGTAGGATTAGGACTTCACCCTCCTAATTCCTGGGGTTCTGCTATTCTCTGCTCCCTACACTGCTATGAAGAACAGAGCCACGGTGTGAAGTTACAGGGGCTGTGCAGGGTCTGGCCCAGGGTTGTAGGGACAGTTTGCCACAAGAAGCCAGCAGCCAGGTATGGTGGCTCACACCTGTAATCCTAGCACTTTGGGAGGCTGAGAAAGGTGGATGGCTAGAGCCCAGGAGTTCCAGACCCATCTGGACAACATAGCAAAACCCTGTCTCTACGGAAAAAAAAAAAAAATAGCCAAGTATGGTGGTGCACGCCTGTAGTCCCAGCTACTTGGGAGGCTGAGATGGGAGGCTGCAGTGGGCTGTGATTACACCACTGCACTCCACTCTGGGTAACAGAGTGAGATCCTACCAAAAAAAAAAAAAAAAAAAGAAAAAGAAAAAAAGAAGCCACTAGCCTGGCATTGCATAGCTCAGTCAACAAAATATCCTTTTTTTTTTTCTTCCAGGAAAAGTAATTACAAATGTTTTGCCAAGGGCACGTCTAGCATGTCTCCCAGAAATGGGCCTGCCTTAGTATCCCTTCCATACCCAGGAACTAGCTAGAAGGAGCCTCAAGGAATCTGGTTTCAGCATAAACATGATGATGGATTTCAGTGTCACAGCTGGGAGCCCATAGTCAATTCTGCTTTCTGTAAATAGAGGTCTGTGGGGTGCCTTCTTATGCACGGATGGCATTGTGATTCCCATTTAACAGAGTAAGCAAAATTTCAGAAAAATTCCAGGGTCTGCCTGAAGTCAAAGCCAAGAGGTGGAAGAGTCAGGATGAGAATCCACACCTCTTAACATTCCTCCCAAGCTCCTTCTTAGGTGATATTGGGTCACGATCCAGAGGTGGAAAGTAATGGATTCTTAGGACTTTTTTTTTTCTTATTTTCATTCATTTATTGAGGCACCACTGCACTGCATCCTGGGCAAAAGGGTCTCACTCTGTTGCTGAGGACGCAGTGCAGTGGTGCCATCATAGTTGACTGCAGCCTCAACCTCCTTGGGCTCAAGCGATCCTCCCACCTCAGCTTCCCAAGTAGCTGGGACTACAGGTGTGCACCACCATGCTGGGCTTTTTTTTTTTAAACTTTTTGTAGAGAAGGAGTCTCACTATGTTGCCCAGGCTGATCGCAAATTCCCAGGCTCAAGTGATCCTCCTGCCTCAGCCACCCAAAGGGCTGGGATTACAGGCATGAGCCACTGCACTTGGACTCTAAGGGCATTTGGATTTAACATCCCAGGATAGGAAAGCAGGGCTGTGTGCTTCAAGGTCAAGAGCTACCTGCCCCTGGGATTTGTAATTAGATCGCCATCTCAACAGAGATCATTCCGAGAAATCCTCAGGGCCAACAGCATGTCCCTGTTTATCTGACAGGGCATTATAAACTTCACAGAAACTTCTCAAACCAAATTTAATTGACTTTGGAAAGAAAGTGATTCCTCACTTTTGGAGTGAGAAAGTTAAAGGTTCATGTAATCAAAAAGAGGCCTAGAATCCCTGTTCTAAGCCAGGCTGGTAGGCTATGGGACCACTTCTTTCTCCCCTACTATAGGACTGCATTCAAACCTCAACATGACCTTCTTCCTAGGTTGTCTGAGTAAAAGGCTGCTCTACTCTGAGTCCAAAAGAACAGTGTGAACTGTTTGGGAAAAGGACGTGGACCCTCTCAAAAGCCCTCAACCTTAACCTCTCCCACTTAGGATATGAACTCCTGGTCTCATCATGTCCAATTCTGAATATTTAAAAAGAGAGTTAAAAAGGAGGAATGGCTTGGCCCAGTGGCTCATGCCTGTAATCACAGCACTTTCGGAGGCTGAGGAGGAAGGATCACTTGAGCCCAGGAGTTCGAGACCAGCCTGGTCAACATAGTGAAACCCCATCTCTATTTTGTATAAAAATATAAAGTAATTAAAACTTAAAAAAGGAGGAATGAAAATTATGTTTACTCAACTATGAAAAAAATGCTCAGGAGGAAGGAACTAGATCACAATACTAATATGTTGACTTGGTTACAACGATGGGGATATTGTGGCTGGACCATATTTGTTTTCCTTTTTCTACGAATAAGCATGTAAGATAAATTTCTGGGCTGGGTGCAGTGGCTCACACCTGTAATCCCAGCACTTTGGGAGGCCGAGGTGGGTGGATCACCTGAGGTCAGGAGTTTGAGACCAGCCTGGCCAACACGGTGAAACCCTGTCTCTACTAAAAACACACACACACACACACACACACACACACAAATTAGCCGGGCGTGGGGGCGGGCACCTGTAATCCCAGCTACTTGGGAGGCTGAGGCAGGAGAATTGCTTGAACCCAGGAGGCGGAGGTTGCAGTAAGCCGAGATCACACCATTGCACTTTAGCCTGGGTGACAGAGCAAGACTCTGTCTCAAAAAAAAAAAAAATTCTGGCCGGGTGTAGTGGGTCGCGCCTATAATCCCAGCACTTTGGGAAGCAAAGACAGGTAGATCACTTGAGCCCAGGAATTTGAGACCAGCCTGGGAAATATGGTGAGACGCTGTCTCTAAAAAAATTTTTTAAAGATTTAAAAAATAGGCCAGGCGCGGTGGCTCATGCCTGTAATCCCAGTACTTTGGGAGGCCGAGTCAGGTGGATCACGAGGTCAGGAGATCGAGACAATCCTGGCTAACACGGTGAAACCCCATCTCTACTAAAAGTACAAAAAATTAGCCGGGTGTGGTGGCGGGCACCTGTAGTCCCAGCTACTCGGGAGGCTGAGGCAGGAGAATGACGTGAACTCGGGAGGCGGAGCTTGCAGTGAGCCAAGATCACGCCACTGCACTCCAGCCTGGGCAACAGTGCAAGACTCTGTCTCAAAAATAATAATAATAATAATAATAATAATAATAATAATAATAATAATAATGATTAGCTGGATATGGTGTTGAGTACCTCTAGGTTCCAGTTACTCAGGAGGCTAAGGTAAGAGGATCATTGGAGGCTGGGAGTTTGAGGCTGCAGTGGGCGGTGATCACACCACAGTATCTAGCCTGGGCAACAGAATAAGACCATTTCAAAATAAATTTTTTTTTTTAGTTAAAAAAAACTGAATCTCTCGGGGTTCTAGTTCTAAGTAAGATAGAGTAAGCAGTCTGTCTCTCCCACTGGCTGCAACTAAAAGCCCTGGAAATAATGGATCTGAGGACTCTGAAAAAGAAATATTAACAAGGCTGGGTGCGGTTGCTCATGCCTATAATCCCAGAACTTTGGGAGGCTGAGGCAGGAGGATCACTTGAGGCCAGGAGTTTGAGACCAGCCTGGGCAACACAATGAGACTCTGTCTCTAGAAAAAAAAAAATTTTTTTTTTTTGGGGGTAGCAGCAGTAACAGTGGTGGCCAGAAAAGCACCTAAAACTCTGACAAAGCGGAATCCTTTCATCTGTCCAAAGCATCTGCAATCTGAAAAGTAGAAGAGGGGAATCTCCGTTGCCTTTTTTCTCTCTTCATCCTGTCACCTGGCCCAAGAGTACACCCGCCATGGAGGGTGCGTAACAAGCAGGGAGACTAAAGGACCCAATTTCTAGCTAAAGGGTCAGGAAAATGAGGGGTCTTGAAAGCTGGAGAATGTGGACAGGAGAGAGCTTGTGAAATAGATCCCATAAAGTTGCACATGAATTTGTAGGTTCACATGCATGGACCTGACCCTAAGCAGTATTCCAGTGAATGAGAACTGAACTATTAGGCAGAACACCCAGGTTTCAGACTGCTCACTGGGGGGCATAAGCTTAGGACTGTTCTGATTTACATGGCAAAGGCTTTGAAACTGAACTGATCGGCTGGGCGCGGTGGCTCACGCCTGTAATCCCAGCACTTTGGGAGGCTGAGGCGGGTGGATCACGAGATCAGGAGATCGAGACCATCCTGGCTAACATGGCGAAACCGCATCTCTACTAGGCATGGTGGCGGGTCCCTGTAGTCCCAGCTATTCGGGAGGCTGAGGCAGGAGAATGGCGTGAACCTGGGAGGCGGAGTTTGCAGTGAGCTGGGATTGCGCCATTGCACTCCAGCCTAGGCGACACAGCGAGACTCCATCTCAAAAAAAAAAAAAAAAAAAAAAAGAAGAAACTGAACTGATACTGGAACTACAATAGCCCACAGGAGACAGATGAGGATCGAACCGAAGAGGGTCAACTGCCTCCTAAAACAAAAACCTGACATTTTCCGTGGGATTTAAACAAGACCTATTCAAAATGCCTAGGATACAATCAAAATTACACACAAAGAACAAGGAAAGTCTGGACCCTGAGATGACCCAGATGTTGGAATTATCAGAAAAAGACTCTTTTTTTCTCTCTTTTTTTTGAGATGGAGTTTCACTCTTATTGCCCAGGCTCGAGTTCAATAGCATGATCTTGGCTCACTGCAACCTCCGCCTCCTGGGTTCAAGCGATTCTTCCGCCTCAGCCTCCCGGGTAGCTGTGATTACAGGCGCCCGCCACCACATCCAGCTAATTTTTTGTATTTTTAGAGACGGGGTTTCAACATGTTGGCCAGGGTGGTCTCGAACTCCTGACCTCAGGTGATCCACCAGCCTCAACCTCCCAAAGTGCAGGGATTACAGGCTAAATAAGAATTTTAGAACTAAGAAAATATAAGAATCAAGATTTGGAAATGATGTTTCTGACCTATTCCCTGGAAAATGTGAATGTTACTTTATATGACAAAGGAGACTGCAGATGTAACTTATGCAGATGTAACTGATTTTATTTTTATGTTAGTGGGCTCATTCTAATCACATGAGTCTTTTAAAGCAGAGTGATTCTCTCTGGCTGGACTTAGATGTAACAGAAGGAAAAGTTAGAAGTATTTAAAGTGTGAGAAGAATTCAACCTATTTCTGGAGGGGCACACGTAGAAAGCACCAGAATGTGGGCAGCTTCTACAGAGAAAAGGCCAACCCCCAGCTGACAGCTAAGAAAACAGGGTCCTCTACCCTGCAACTGCAATACACTAAATTCAGCCAAGAACCCAAATGAATGTGGAAGCAGATTCTTCCTCAGAGCCTCCAGGGAAAAACACATTTGGTTTTGGCCGTATGAAACGTGATTTGGACCTTGTGAGACTCTAAGCAGAGGACCTAGTCAAGTCCAATCAAGCTTCTGACCTATAGAAATTGTGAGAAAATATATGGATGTTGTTTTAAGCCACTAAGTTTGTGGTAATTTGTTACAGCACCAAGAGTAAACTAATACATTATCCAAAATGAGCAGCAGAGAGAAAAAAATTTTTTTTTTGAAACACAGTCTCACTTTGTCACTCAGGCTGGAGAGCAGAGGCACGATCTTGGCTCACTGCAGCCTTGACCTCCCTCCTGGGCTCAAGTGATCTCTCACTTCAGCCCCAACAAATAGCTGGGACTACAGGTGCATGCCACCACACCCACCTAGAGAAAATTTTTTAAAAAATGAATAGTCTCAGGAATTCACGGACAATGTCAAAAGCTCTAACATTCATGTTATCAATGACACAGAAGTACAGGACAGTATGGTACAGAAAACAATACTTGAAGAAATCATAGCTGAGAACTTCCCAGATATCTGAAACACAATCAAGTGGCTCTGTGAACTCTGATAAGGATAACCGAAAGAAATCCATGTCCATATACATCATAATTAAACTGATGAGAACCAAAGACAAGGAGAAAATCTTAAAAAGCAGCTGGGGAAAAATAAAGCATTACCTGTTGGGAAACAATAGTTAGAATGCCTCTGGATTTCTGAGAAAAAACCATGGAGGCCAGAAGGCATAGAACAATTTTTTTTTTTTTTTTGAGATGGAGTCTTGCTCTGTTGCCCAGGCTGGAGTGCAATGTCCTGATCTTGGCTCACTGCAACCTCTGCCTCCCGGGTTCAAGTAATTCTCCTGTTTCATTCTCTAATCTCAGTAGCTGGGATTACAGGCACTTGCCACTACGCCCTGCTTTCGTATTTTTAGCAGAGACAAGGCTTTTGCCATGTTGGCCAGGCTGGTCTCGAACACTTGACCTCAAGTGATCTGGCCACCTCGGCCTCCCAAAGTGTTGGGATTACAGGCATGAGCCACCACGCCCGGCCTCAATTGTATTTCTATATACTAATAATGAGCAATTGGAAAAAAAATCTACAATAGCCACCCCCCCGCCAAGTGAAATATAGTTTGAGACCCATTCATGGATCTCAAATCCAAAAATGTGAAATGCTCAAAATCTAAAACTTTTTGAGAGCTGAAATGACTATCAAAGGAAATACTCATTTAAGCATTCTGGATTTTAGAGTTGGGATGCTCAAGTAATATTTGCTTCAGGTAAAGCAAATATTAACCTGAAAATAATCCAAAATATTTCTGGTCCCAAGCATTTCTTTTTTTCTTTTCTTTTTCTTTTTTTTTTTTTTTCTTTTTGAGATGGAGTCTCACTCTTGTTGCCCAGGCTGGAGTGCAATGGTGCAAGCTCGGCTCACTGCAACCTCCGCCTCCTGGGTTCAAGCAATTCTCCTGCCTCAGCCTCCCAAGTAACTGGGATTACAGGCACCCAGCTGTTAAAAGAAAAAGCATTTGGCTTCTACTGGAATCTGGAGCCACAGTTTGGTGTCAAACAGAGCAGCTGTGCTTTTGTTTCAAATGCTGTTTGCTGAAAACCTCTGGATCAGAAGAGCTGGTCTTCAGCCAGGTCCTTGGCACCAAGAGGATGTGAACAATCCTGAATTCCAGGGCCTACTGATGGAGTCCACTAGTTAGTCCCTTTGACACGGCCCCCTTATGGATCCCAGTAGTCAGCCGGGGTGCAGGTTTTCATAGTGATTCTAAACAAGGCTGCAGTCACTGTTTAGAAGTGATTGGGGGAAGCTGGAACTGTGCTCCTTGTTTCAGGACCTCTAGATTGCACCTAGATTAAACAAGACGGAAGCTCTCAAAAGGCTCTAAGTCTAGGCCTCCTGTGAGGTAGGGTCTGAAAGGACTTAAACCATTTTTTTTTTTTTTTTTTTTTACACACAGGGTAACTTTTTGGAAGAGTACTTTGTAACAATAAAGTGCTGTGCACAGAAAGGAGAAATGCCATTATGGGGATGTGTGTGCCGACCTGGGACCAGCAGGGTGAAAGAGTCTATCATTCATGATGAGAGCTGCCATTTGCGCTAAGCACACACCATGTGCCAGGCACTATGCCAAGAAATTGTTGAATCTTCACAATAACTCTGTGAGAAAAGGGCTGTCATTGGACAGATGAGGACACTGATGCTCCCAGGGGTCCACATCACATGAAGAGGAGGTGACAGGGCTGGGCCTTGGTCCGAAGCTCCAGCCTTCCAAGCCAAGGCCTGTGAGAGGAACCGCTGAGACCTGATGTTAGGCCTGTTTTTCTCATGTGCCCTGGAGAAGGGGACTAACACCATCTTTTGCCAAAGTTTGGTGAGGGATGGCCAAGAGCTCTTTGAAACTTTGCCATGTACAATAGCACTCACAATTTTTTTTAAATTTTTTATACAGTGGTATCGGGGTACAGTGGCTCATCAACACTTTGGGAGGCTGAGGCGTGAGGATTGCTTGAGGCCAGGAGTTTGAGACCAGTCTGGGCGACATAGTAAAATCTCATCTCTATAAAAAAAGAAAAAAAATGAGGCGGGCATGGTGGCAAACATCTGTAGTCCCAGCCACGCAGGAGGCTAAGGTAAGAGGATCACTTGAGCCTGAGAGGTTGTGGCTACAGTGAGCCATGATCACACTACTGCACTCTAGGATGGGTGACAGAGCAGGACAGTTTCAAAAAAAGACAAAAAAAAATTTACACAGTGGAATGCTTTCTTTAAAAACTATCTTATGCATAAGTACAATCTAGAAAACCAGAACTGGGCCACTTATAGTGAAGGTGGAAGCAGAGGTGGCCTGGGACCCCCCAGGATTCCTGGAGCACTGCCTGAAGGCCATTTATCTAGTAGATTGGCACTCACTGTAAGAAGCGCAAGAGGTACCATGATGCTTAAGGCTCTGGCTCTGGGTGTGAAAGAATGAGGTGGAATTGTAGCAGATTCATTCCTGGGTCAATCTGTTTTTGGGGAGGGCTGCAGGATTCCAGGCCTGCCATGTGCAATGGGTGCTGCCCTCTTTCTTCTGGGCACCATCTGCCTCAACCTATCCCCTGGCCAGTGTCACTCACAGGGCAGAAAATTTATCTTCACCATCTCACAATTAGTTTAATCTTAAAAAAAATGGATTATAAAGTTAAAAGCTACAGCAACTCTTTTTTGTGCTCATAAAAGGCATCATCTGTTTTTTTCTGTATCAACAAAAGTAGAATGTTCAAGTTTGGATCTTGGTGTAAGATCAACAATAGATCTGTACCTCTGACTCCAATGCAGGGGCTCGTGGGATGGCTCACAGTGGAATCATCAAACGGACTTCCTTCTCATAGATGTCAGGGATCATTCCCACTGGGGAACTGACCATGTGCACAGTGTTCTTGCCAAACAATTGGAACTCATAGTGGATGAGCTGCTCCCAAAAGCCGCTGTTGGGTCGGATGATGGGCCGGCATGACTTGGTCCACGTGTGGGCGTCCAGCAGGGACATGGCGTGGTACTTCATGAGGTAGGCGAGGCACAGGGCAGCTGAGCGGCTCACACCAGCAGCACAGTGCAGCAAAGTACGGCCCTGCTTCATCTCCACGCTGTGGATATGGTCAGCAATAGGGTCAAAGAAGTCACAGAGACGTGAGTTAGGGGAGTCAGCCACAGGTACCTGCATGTACTGGATATCCTCATACAAGGTGTTCACTACCTCCACTGAGACATTGATGACCATGGTGATCTGGTTGCTAGACAGCATGAGCTTGTTGTTGGCGGCCACACCATTGCTGATATACAGGCTTTTGGTTATCTGCGAGAGGCCGCTGACTGAGGGCTGCCGGAACTGAACTGGGAAGGCACACGAGGGTGCTGTCATCAAGGCGGTGGGTCAGTGGTCAGCAGTCAGCGAAGCACGAAGGCTGCGTCTTTCTGCTAGGCTGTGTCCATGGAAAACTGCAGAGAGGGAGAGGATGTTTAGAGGGCAGGTGCCCAGAGGGCCAATTCCAGGGGATCCCTGGGAAATGGATGGATAGGCTTATAGCATTCCCCAAGGCAGTCCTCTGACCATCACAGCAGAACTACCCAGCAAACTCATTTAAAGTACAGATACCCAGGTCCCTCTCCAAACCCACAGTCAGACTCTCGGGGTGAAGAGCATGAATCTGCATTTTCAGCATGCTTCTCAGGTGGTCTAATGTGCACTGCCCTATAGGACAAATGGCAAGTCCCCAAGTCTGGCACTTGAGGCCTCCCTTGAGGGGTCCCACAGCTCTAGTTGGGCAGATGACTTGTGTCCCTCAGCTGTGCCTTGGCCTGATTCTCCATTTAAGCTCACAGAGCCCTTTTCTTGCTGCTCTTCCAAATTCTCTCCTTCCTTCCAGCCCCTCTGAGTGGGAACCATTTGTACAGTCTTCCTCCTCAGTCTTCTGACTTTATGCCCAAATCATAAGGTCCTGAGCCAGTGGCATGGAACCAGAGCCCACTGTGCTGGCAGTCACTGAGGAGGCTGGTATAAGAGTAGGGAGGGTTCCCATTTTCCCCCTCTAAGAACCATCTCTTTAAAGAGACAGGATATGCCCATGCGAAGCTGATGTCAAATACAAAGTCCTAAATTGTTAGACATGCTCCTGCACCTTGCCTCTGAAGAAGGCCTGGGAAAGGGAGTGGCTGAAAGCTTCCTGGAAGCCAGCATAATGGGCACCACAGCAACCCCAGGGACAAGCACAGAGACAGCAGGGCCTTAGGAAGACCTGCCACACCTGCATCATGCTGCCTGCAGCAGAGCTGTGAAACACACCCCAGGGAGAGGCAGACCCCTTCCCTTCACCTGCTCGATAGGCTCAGTCGCCGCTAAGTAATTGGGGTAGAGGTTCAGCCGCAGATCTGCTTCCCGCGCCGCAGACCGTGCAGTCGTCGGTGCTCCTCAGGTGCGGCCTGGGTGCCCAGAGCATTCATTAGACTCTCGGACCCTCACTTTCTCAGTCTTAAACAAAGCTGCAAAAACCAGGACATCTTTATACATTCCGCTGAAATAGGGACATTTGGATTTAGATCACACCTTTCAAGGCCAAGTGGCAGTCTTCACCAGGCACGAGAAATGAGGAGCCAAAGTTTTGTTTCCCTGCTTAATATATTTCAGTGGCTATCCACTGTGAGGATAAGATGGAGCCACTTAGTTTGGCTGTCAAGGCCATTTGTGACCTGGCTCCTGCCTGTCTCTCCAGCCTCTTATTAGGCTTCTCCATGCTCTGAAGGGCCTCAGGTGAACCGAGCCACTTACAGTTCCTTAGGGACAACCTGTCCTCTCCAGCCAGTGGCCTTTGCCCCTGCTGATCTCTCAGTCTCTTTCCTTATGAACCCATCAGATCCTGATCTGGTCCATTCAGCAGAGGACTGCAGAAGTCTGAGGAGCCTTAAGATATCAACTTAAAGGTAACTGTTTTAAGGGAAATCTCCTTAGATCACACCCCTCCCTCACGTTTGACCAACTCTGCTCCAGGCTTTCTTAGCCCTATGTTCTCTCCTTCCTAACACTTACTGAAGACGTAGTTTTGCTCCGATCTGTCTGATTATTTGATTAATGTCTGTCTCCCCAAGAGACTGTGAGCCCTTTAGGGATATGATGGTGTCTGTCTTCACTCCCACTCTATCACCAACTAGTGCCAAGCGCTGTGTCCCCACAAGTAGGTGCTTGATAAATATTTGTTGAATGAAGAAATGACTCCCAACAGCTATGACTCTGCCTTCTGAGAGGTTTTCTGGAAAGAATGAGTTCTCTGGCAGCGTGTCTCCAGAATTCCAGGGAGGGGCTGGGTGGGGATGGGGGTGGTTCTGAGGCTACTAAAGAGAAAGACCAAAGGTTGTATAGGCAAATCCTACCTGCCAATGCCCCAGACTCAAATGCATCAGGCTCATTCCCGGAAGGACAGAGAGGGCTGGCTTGCTACAGAGGTGATATGAAGGGCAAAGAAAAAGCCTCCTGAACCCAGATGGAAGTCTAAATGCTAAGGAATGTTCTGGATCCTCGTCATCAGAAAATCCATAGAGAAGTGAACTGATGTCCCCCCAAACCAGTGCCCAGTGGGTAACGGGAATAGAGGAATGTGCTGTTCATTATAGCCACTAAAAGTCTGCAGAAGTGACAATGCTCTTGCAGGTGAGGGTAGTGATGCGAGGAGTCATTTTCATGCTAGTTAAGAAATATCTATCAGGGCTGGGCACGGTGGCTTAAGCCTATAATCCCAGCACTTTGGAAGGCCGAGGCGGGCAGATCACCTGAGGTCAGGAGTTCAAGACCAGCCTGACCAACATGGTGAAACCCCCGTCTCTACTAAAAATACAAAAATTAGCCAGGCGTGGTGGCATGGGCCTGTAGTCCCAGCTACTCAGGAGGCTGAGACGGGAGAATTGCTTGAACCCGGGAGGCGGAGGCTGCAGTGAGCCAAGATCGTGCCACTGCACTCCAGCCTGGGAGACAGCGTGAGACTCCATCTCAAAAAAAAAAAAAAAAAAAAAAAAAGCAATCTCTATCAGGCACTGTATTAGGTGTTGGAGATACTGAAATGTACAAGACAGGCATGGCCCCTTTTCTCAGGGAGCTCAAAGACTAGTGGGAGAAACAGATAGTAAACAGGCAATTACAGGCAGACAGAGCTTGAAAATAGGATAACAGTACCTACCTTAAAAGGATGTTGTGAAATTAAACGAGATAATCCACGTAAAGAGTTTTCTCAGGGCTTGGCATAGAGTAAGCCCTCTCAAAATGATAACTATTTTTCTCGCTTCTGATAGGGAAGTTAAAATGCAGGGCTCTGTGAAAGGGAAGTGTAAAAAAGATTTCTTCCAGGTCGGAGCCTAGGGAGTCGCAAAGACCACCTGAAGAAATCACAAAAGATCTAAAGAACGTTTAGCTTGAGAGGGAGGAGGAGAAAAAAATAGCAACTCGGTAGCAGTTCAGCTTCACCACTTTACAGCCTATGAAGTATTTGGCTTCCCTCATCTGGTTCGATCTTCAAAGCAACCTAATCAGACCGGCGTCTAGAGTTAATATTTCCATTTTACAAAAGAGGAAAGTGAGACACAGCGCGGAAAAGGACTTGTTCAGAACGAGTCATAAAGCAAAGAAGCCGACCTTTATGGTCCATTATGTGTGGGAAAAATGAACAAACACCGCGGGGCGTTCGTGAAATACTAAGTTATAAACATGGAACAAAGTCCAAGAGTTAACGAGAGCGAAGCATCACTTCTAGGGGTGGGCCGGGTAGGTTTCCTAGGGGAGCTGGCATTGGAATAGGCTTCTTCGCCTGCTTAGTGTCAGGACCCCCAGGGTTTTACCTCTCTCCTTCAGGCGGGTGGGCGGGTTCGCTCAGGAAGTAGCCGCTTGGGGAAGCCTTAGGCAAGGTTCTTCGGGAGAGAGACCCGTCATGATCCCGCAGCCTCAATCCCCGCTGGCCTAACGCTTTGGTTTCCATAGCAATGGGCTCGTCGCAGAAAGGAATAGCCTGTGCCGGGTCTTCAGAGAAATCCTGGCCTCGGCTCCACGCCCCTGAGCAGCCCCACCCTGGCTCAACCTGTTACCCGCCCTGCCGGCAAGCCGGGGTCACTGCAGTCCCCGTGGCGAAGCAGGGTCAGCTCAGCTCACCGCACCCCACTCCATCCAGCCCTGCCCATCTCTACGGCAACGGGCCGGGTCGCACCAGGGCTGCAGCCGAGAGACAGTCTCACCGCTTCCGTAGCCGCCCGGGCTCTGTGCGCATGTGCGACACTCCCTCCCCGGCCCCGCCCCCTTATGCGTCTCCCAGGCAACGCGCCGCGCGGGGCTCCAGGTTCCGCCCAGGGACTAACTCCAGGTCTGCGCGCGTCCAACGAGCACGGCTCTCAACCGGCCTCCTGGCGCCCAACGACCATGGCTTCCAACCGGCCTCCGTGCGCCCAACGACCATGACTCCCAACCGGCCTCCAGTTTCCAACTGTTTCTCGAACAGGGAAGCCGCCATGACACAGCTGACTACGCCCTTGGTCACAGGGGACCTGAGATCCTCCACGATTTACGGGACCGGCGCCACCTCGGGCTCGAACCACCCTCTCGATAGGGCCGCCGCTAAGTAATCGGCGTAGGGGTTCAGCCGCACATCTCCTTCCCGCGCCGCGGACCGAGCAGTCGTTGGTGCTCTTCAGGTGCGGCCTGGGTGCCCAGAGCCTTCGTTAGACTCTCGGACCCGCAAGGGAGCCCGAACTCTTTCAGACTCGCTCTCCCTCAGCCGGACCTCGGCCCTTTTTCACACCCCAGGGGAGTCTGGATTTCTCATAGTCCTGGGCACCAGCCCCTTCCCAGTCTAGCTCTTGGGACTCCCTGAAGCCGGAACTCCCTCGCCTGGACTCCCGGGAGAACCTGGAATCCCCATCTCCAGTCCACATTTTCTCAGAATCTGTCCTAGCCCTTCAGTCTCCCAGGCATGACATCGTGTGGTCCCAGCGCCCTAGGTGGTGAGCTGTGACTCTCCTTAGAGCCTGGCGAGGCCGAGGTCCTCCCCAGCTCGAACCCATCCCACACTCCCCTTCTCAGCCTCTGTGTTCCCCAGTGGTCCTGGAAAAGCCCCCAGTTCCCTCTGCCTGGCCCCAATCCTCACAAACCCAATTACCCACGCTCCTTTCCATTCCATAACCCCCATCACTGCATCCTCCAGGCTCCCATCCATGGAGGACTTGAGGTGGAAAGCAATTTGGTTCAAAATAACCATTATTTATTACTTGAAAGGGAATATTTCCAGTCGTTGCCAGCCTCCTCCCCTTCTAGTATTGGTAAATTTTTTGCACCACTGAGTGGGTGAAGAGTTTTATGCGTCTTTAAATGTTTTAAGGATTTTTTTAAAAAAACAAAAAACTCTCAGGATTTGGGGGACTTTTGTGTTTGAGCATCTTGATCTCTAAACCAGCTTTTTCCATCACCTCACACCTAGGCTATGCATAGAGGTCAGAAAAATGTAAATGAGAGATTGAGAAGTTGGATTGTTCATACTAGTTTGTAAATATGAAAACATTCACAACACTCCAGTTCCAAATAGGCTGAAAATGCATTAGAAAAACTAGTCCTTCAATATTTTTTATCCTTCTACAGTTGTCTTTTTTGACCCAATTATAAAAGTAGTGTACACTTATAGAAAAATGAGGACAGGCATGGTGGCTCACGCTTGTATTCCCACCACTTCACTTTGAAACGCTGAGGCAGTTGGATCACCTGAGCTCAGGAGTTCGAGACCAGCCTGGGCAACAGGGTGAAACCCCATCTCTACCAAAAATACAAAAAATTAGCCGGGCTTGGTGGCTCACCTGTGGTCCCAGTTACTCAGGAGGCTGAGGTGGGAGGATCACTTGAGCCTGGGATGTGGAGGTTGCAGTGAGCTGAGATTGTGCCACTACTCTCCAACCTGGGGGACAGAGTGAGACCCCGTCTCGAAGAAATAAAAAGAAGACAAGACAGGCCAGCAGCATAAGTGGCTAGGGACAATCACTGTTAACATTTTGGTGTATTTTGATCAGAATCCATTCATATATATATATATATATATATATATATATGTTACAACATGCTTATACTTAAAAAAGATACATCACAAAAGTTCACTTTTTAGTAACCTGCTTTTTTCTCCCATCTAATATACCACCCGTCTATGTTTCATACACAATTACATGTATTTTATTTTATGACATACCAAAATTTATTCAATTGCTTCCATACTGTAGATTTTGTTTCCGCATTTTAGAAAGAAAATATGAACAATTTTTTTTTTGAGACAGAGTCTAGCTCTGTGGCCCAGGCCCGAGTGCAGTGGCACAGTCTTGGCTCACTGCAACCTCTGCCTCCTGGGTTCCAGTGATTCTCCTGCCTTAGCCTCCTGATTAGCTGGGATTACAGGTGCTCACCACTACACCCGGCTAATTTTTGTATTTTTAGTAGAGATGGGGTTTCACCATGTTGGCCAGGCTGGTCTCGAACTCCTGACCTCAAGTGATCTGCCCACCTTGGCCTCCCAAAGTGCTGGGATTATAGGCCTCAGCCACTGTGCCTGATCCTGAAGAATTATTTTTAAATGGGCAAAACCATTTAAAGGTATTTATTTGTAAGACTACTTCATGGTGTAACCAAATTATCAAAAAGTGAAAATGCAGTGCTTAGAAGTATATCCACTCTTCAGCATTTCCTCATTTTGACCAGATTGTTATATTTTCACCTGGAGTACCTAGCTCCATTCTACCCCACCCCACCCCATGTTTCACCTCACCTTTCAGAGTCTCCTAAAACCCCTGTCCACCCCACACCTCCCTATTCTAAATTTTCCCCAAACCTTCTTCTGGAATTCCCCTATTAACCAGCCTAACATCTGTCCAAACTCTTACTTTTATTTCTCCCTGCTCTGATCTATACTCCCCCAAGCCCCCGCCTCCCAGATCCCCTTTAGGCACAGGGTCTAGAGCAAGTGCTCCCCAAGCTAAACACCTCTCAAATTCATCCTTCGAACCCTACTCTACAACTTTTACTCCTCCCCTCTAAGACCCCTCTCTCCCATTTCATCCTTAAGAAGGATCATCAAGATGACTGCTTTTGGCTGGGTGGGCATGGTGGCTCTCACGCATGTAATCCTACCACTTTGGGAGCCCAAGGCAGGCATATCTCTTGAGGTCAGGAGTTCGAGACTAGCCTGGCCAACATGGTGAAACCCCGTCTCTACTAAAAATACAAAAATTAGCCAGGTGTGGTGGCGCATGCCTGTAATCCTAGCTGCTCGGGAGGCTGAGGCAGGAGAATCGCTTGAACCCGGGAGGTGGAGGTTGCAGTGAGCCGAGATTGTGCCACTGCATTCCAGCCTGGGAGACAGAATGAAACTCCATCTCAAAAAAACAAAAGACTGCTTTGGAAGATGGTTCTGAGTTCCTGATAACCCTTCTCTTGTGGACTGCACTGGGGCCCTTTTACAAACACAGAATTGCTTTTCTTCTGGGTGTCCATGAAACACCCCTTTAGCATATCTTTCCACAAGAAGAAACTGTGGTTACTCCCTTGCTTCTCTGAAAATTGTAACAGAGCTGCACTTGTCCTAAGATACCCGGGGAAGCCTCAGCCACTCCCCCAGGACCCTGTCAAATCTGCTCTGGCCCTGGCCTCAGCCATCTGTAACCTGTGTCACCTTTCCCTCCCCGCTCCAGCTTAATGATTCCAGTGAAGCAGCAGTGAAAAATTTTTTACTCATATAAAAAGAGCAGTTTATCTTGGGTGGGTTTTTATGACAAGCTCATAGCACAACGACTCCATGAGGTGCAGGTAAAGTAGCCACAAGCTTTTGCATTAGAGGGTGTTAGTGGCTTGACCCATATTCATTTCATTCTCTCTATATCCTGGGGGATCATAAAGGTGATAGGAAGTCCCCAAGGTGCTCTAAGGCAGGCCCCGTTTTACAGAGGAGGCAATTCACACTCAGGGTTACTGACTTGCCCAAGGTGTCACACCTGTTCCTAGGCTAAGGAGGCTAGAAAGACTCCATGTCTCTTGGTTTTGTTTTTGTTTTTGTTTTTCCTGAAAGCACATTATCTCTCTAGGGAACCCATGAATGGATTCTTATTTTCTCCCATACAAAGTCTTGGGTTCTAGGCTGGGCGCGGTGGCTCATGCCTGTAATCCCAGCACTTTGTGGGAGGCAGGACGGTCACTTGAGGTTAGGAGTTTGAAATCAGCCTAGTCAATGTGGCGAAGCCCCGTCTCTACTAAAAATACAAAACTGATCTGGGCATGGTGGTGGGTGCCTGTAATACCAGCTACATGAGAGGCTGAGACATGAGCATTGCTTGAACCGGGTGGTGAAGGTTGCAGTGAGCTGTGATAGTACTCCAGCCTGGGCAACAGAGCAAGACTCCGTCTCAAAAAAAAAAACAAAAACAAAAAAACAAACAAGCAAAAATAAATAAATAAAACCCCCAAAAAACTAAGGTCTTGGGTCCTAGAGTTTGAATCAGCATTAACAGCATCTTGTCAGTTTTTTCCTTTGGGGATTATCCCCATTTTCCAGATGAGAACTGAGGCTCTTCTCCCACTTTTTGCTTATGGACAGGTAAGAGTTTGACTCAGGCTTACTCAAAAGCCTGAGTGCTGTCACCTACTGTTCCCATAGACCCTAATTGATGAACTCATTAAACCTGTCCTTAGGGCCTGCTTGGGACAGCTACTGTGTTGGGTGCTAGGAAGAGACACATGAAAAAGATGGACACCAATAACATACTCATTTTTTCAAACAGAGCAGGAAGCCCAGGGTTGAGCTTCTGCCCCTTCTTGACTCTGTTGACTTCTCTCCATGTTCCAGGGTCAAGTCTGGATGGGCCCACAGGATTCTAACATCAAAAACAGTTGGAGATCCTTAAGAGATGGTGCCAGATCCTCTTGAAGGTCACAAAGACAAAAGCAGAGCAGAGACCTGGGCATTTCTGCCTCTGCTAAACTTCCAATGGTGGGATGTAGTGGAACTAGATGGGCAGGCCAGCTTTGTGTGACCTTGGGTGAATCACACTTCCTCCAGACTCTGCTTTCTCATTTGTAAAAATAGGATCTATTAAGATCCTCTCAGTGGCAGGTAATATAAACTGAACTTGAACTAGTTCAAGCAAAATAGAGAAGTTGGGTTTACATAATCAAGGATGGATAGGGCACAGTCGCCAATGTTTTAGGGGAGAGAAGCCAGGGGCTGTACTACCACCAGGTATGTCTTCCATTCTGTCTTCATTGTCTTTATATTGTGTCTCGTCTCGTCCCGTCCCATCCCGTCTCGTCTGTTTGAGACACGGTCTCACTCTTGCCCAGGCTGGAGGCCAGTAGCATGAGGCTCACTGTAGCTTCAACCTCTTGGGTTCAAGCAGTCCTCCCACCTCAGCCTCCCAGGTAGCTGGGATTACAGGCATATGCCACCATGCCTGGCTAATTTTTTGAATTTTTAGTAGAGATGAGGTTTCACCACATTGCCCAGGCTGGTCTCAAACTCCTGGGCTCAAGTGATCTGCCCTCCTCTGCTTCCCAAAGTGCTGGGATTACAGGCATATGCCACCGTGCCCAGCCCTTTGTGGCTTTCTGAACACCAGTATCATTATCAGGCTGGCTGAACCTGGGGAGCAGAGCCACAGGAAACCTTGGCCTGTAGACCACAAGAAGTACTTCCACTGCTGCTCCAGTTAGACAAATCCTGAGGAAGGACTCCAGTTGGCCCCAGTTGGTTCATGGGCCCATCCCTGTTTTAATCACTGTGGCCAGGTGGTGTGGGGTATTCTGAGTGGCCCACGATAGGTTCGGGGCCAACTGGGTGGGGAATGTCGTACACCTTAGGTGGGGCAAGGAACTGTGAACTACTCTTAACTGGAAGCTCCTGAGTTGGCTTTATGTATACCTGAGGGCTGTGCCAACTTTCAGCTGTCCAGAAGCTTCCTTTTACTTTTTTTTATTTTTTTATTTTTTATTTATTTTTTTTTGAGACAAAGTCTCCCTGTCACCCGGGTTGGAGTGCAGCAGCGTGATCTCAACTCACTGCAGCCTCTGCCTCCTGGGTTCAAGTGATTCTCCTGCCTCAGCCTCCCGAGTAGCTGGGACTACAGGCGTGCGCTACCACGCCTGGCTAATTTTTGTATTTTTAGTAGAGACGGAGTTTCACCATGTTGGCCAGGCTGGTCTCAAACTCCTGACCTCAAGTGATCTGCCCTCCTTGGCTTCCCGAAGTGTTGAGATTACAGGTGTGAGCCACTGCGCTGGGCCTTGGAGTTACCTAGCTTAATGCCCACTTTTTACAAATAAATAGACTCCCTGTGAGTCAAAGTATTTATGGAATGAATATAGTGTGGAGAGAGCTTTAGAGAAGAGCAATAAGGAGATCAGCCACTAATGAAGATCAGACCACCTGATAAAAACTTTATGACAGACCAGCTCAGAAAGCTGGGGCACTGGAGACGGGAATCCATGAACATCCACCAGTACTTGGATAACATTTGTGTATACCAGGAATAGTTGAAACTCCAGTCTCCCAAGAAAGACCAGCCACTCTAGTACTGGCAAAGGGATCTGCCCCAGGGCCACGATGACACTAGTGTGATCAGAGGAGAACTAGAAAATAGCCAGGCTACATGACTGTAAAACAATAGACAGAGACCAGCAGACAGCAGGGCATAACAAATCCTCAGCAATCCTCATATTCCTTCCCCATGCGTCCCCTCTATTCTGGTGAAGGAGGTCCTGATAGTCCCATGGATGCTTACCTCAAAAAGGCAGGATCAAGCTAGCTTCCATGGTTAAGGTGAAGATTGACCTCTCGGTGCCCACTTGTCTGAGGTGACATGCTAGGTGAGGTGTGCCGGGACAGTGGTACCTTAGATGGGAAGGCCCCAGTAATGCCACTGCCTGGCATTCCAGTGGTAAGGAGGTGTGGGGGAGGCATCAGAAGGACCTGGCTTAGGTGCTGTATCTACCACCAGTCAGCCGTGTGGCCTTGTCACCTCCTTGAGCCTCCGTTTCCTTATCTGAAAGAATGTTGCAGTAGTAAGGGAACCTACCTCCAAGGTCTGGCGTGAGGATATAAAGTGCTCAGCCTAGGACTCATCATTTCCAGTGACTGTCATCATGGTGGCTTCCAGTGGCCTTCCAGTGGTCCCCACTCCCCGTTCTGCCTGCTCCAGACGACACCCTGATAGTCCCCACATTGTACTTTTATTTGTGAAGACCATTTATCTGGAATGCCTCTTTAGCTCTCTCTTCATCCTTCAAGGTTTGTCTCAATGCCATTTCCTACACAGCATTTTCTTTTTTTGTTCTTTGGTTTTTTTGAGACAGAGTCTCACTCTTGCCCAGGCTGGAGTGCAGTGGTGCACTCTTGGTTCACTGTAACCTCCACCTCCCAGGTTCTAGAGATTCTCCTGACTCAGCCTCCCTAGTAGCTGGGATTACAGGCATGTGTCACCACACCTGGCTAATTTTTATATTTTTAATAGAGACGGGATTTTACCATGTTGGCAAGGCTGGTCTCAAACACCTGACCTCAAGTGATCCACCTGTCTGGGCCTCCCAAAGTGGTGGGAATACAGGCGTGAGCCACCATGCCCGGCCTCCTACACAGCATTTTCTGACCTCCTCCTGTCTCCTGCCCACCTCTGCCCATAACCCACCCATGTCATATGGGAACGTTTCCTCTCCCCTCTGAACTTGGATTACTTGTGGTTTCATTCTGCCTTGCATAGTAGCTGTTTGAGTATCTGTCCTGGCTCCTGATTAGATTGTACACTCTTTTATTGGGGTGATCAGACCCAACACCAGGTCCTGGGGGCGACAAAGTCTGGCGGAGTCAAAGGAATGAGAAAAAAACAGTTTGAAAGAGAAAGTGGGAACAGAGGGTCATGGCGAGTGTGGAGGCTGCGAAGGCCCCGAGCTCTGGGAGCACGCGCTATTTATTGGTGCTCAAACAAAGAAACAGGTGGTGAGGATGTGGGGGTTGAAACAGTGTATCGAGTGAATGAGAAACATATGGCTGCTTGAGATAATGGGAGTGCCAGAAGCAAGGGGCTGGCAAGTCTAGCAGACATGCAAGCCCTGCCTCACCTGCTCTCCCAACACTCAGTGCTTCTCCCAACATGCCTCCCCCTTCTCTTTTTTGTAAAAACCGCCACAGCTATCATTATTACTAGCATAAGGTGGCCTCTTTTTAAAATTGAGCAAGGCAATTGCAGGCTGTGTAGCGCTTAATTGCCGGTTGGTGATCCAGCTTCATTTTTCTTAGCCCTTATTCAAAATGGAGTCGCCCTGGTTTGAATGCTTCCTACGTATCTCCCCTTTCTCTTTTACAAGAGGACCCTTAATCCTAGGGGTTGCAGAAGGATGAAGGTCCGTCTTCTGTAACTTCTTCATGCTGAATAGGGGCAATGATACTCCTGCCTACCTATTAGGGTCTCTTGTATTCAGGGTAGAGAGGAGTTCAGTCAGAAAGCATTGGTCCATTAAGCATCTACAGGTAAAACCTTGGCACTCCAGCAGTTTCTCAGCAAGGCTCGTACTGGGGGAACCCAGTCCATGGTTGTACACATCTTGAGGGCACCTACACGGTTTGTTCATCTCCTGCAAAAACACAAGCATACCCTCACCCCCACGTTAGTAAATCTACTGAAACAGAAGCAAAAACTTCTGTGGCTGTAGCCTCGAGGCATGCCATTGCGGAAGCATTTGTAACTCAGCTTCGGCCTCTTTGGTTAATTACCACGTGGTGGAACTTACCATTGATAAGGAGAAGCAAGCCCCTTACAACAGAAGGCACAGACGAAGCAAATCCAGACTTAAAAGCAATCCTTAAACCTTCAATTTGCACTGTACAGGTGGGTCCACTAGATGCTGTGGTTCATGATAGATCTTCAGATGTTTGGTGGGCACCCACACAGGCACCTGATTGTCACCTGGAGAGACACAAGCAAATCCTCTTCCCCATAAAATTATCTTTCCTTTTCCCAGCGCTTTGTGCATCCCTCCACCACATATCTTGTCCAACCTTTTTATTTGCCTTTTGTCTTGTCAGGTGTTGTTCAGCTGCAGTCATGGGTTGAATCACAGCATTAACAGCCCTTAAATCTGTTAACATTCTCCATTTCCCTGATTTTTTCTTAATGACAAATACAGGATAATTCCAAGGGGAGAAAGTAGGCTCTATATGTCCCTTTTGCAAATGTTCCTGCACCAGTTCTTTTAAAGCCTCCAGTTTTTCCTGTTTCAGTGGCCATTGCTCCACCCAAACCAGTTTGGCCGTTAGCCAAACAAGAGGAATGGGAGCCGGAGCCTCAACAATGGCCGCTCCTAAAAATGACACCCCAATCCGGTCCAATCTGTTTGCCTTTTTAATTCTAAAGGTTCTGGTTGGCCATTTTTATCTTTTCCTAGTCCTTTTCCTGGGCAACATCCCATATTTCTCATCATTTGTCCTCTATTATTACTATATTGATCCATAGGAATAGATATTTCAGCATCCCATTGTTGCAATAAGTCTCTACCCCATAAATTGACAGGAATAGGTGTAAATGATAGGCTGAAATGTCCCTTCCTGACCATCTGGCCCTTGACATGGTAAAATCAAAGAACTTTGAAAAACTTCTGAGGCAGCTCCTACTCCAGCAATACCAATGGATGCCTTTTGCTTAGGCCAGTGCTGGGGCCATTGATTTATAGCAATAATAGAGACATCAGCTCCAGTTATCTACTAGTCCTTCAAAATCTTTTCCCTGAATAGTTACTGTGCAAATAGGTCTTTTGTCAGACACTTGATTAACCCAATACACAGCCTTTCCTGCTGGATTAGTATTACCAAAGCCTCCTGTTCTTTTCACTGTACTCTTCCTAGTTTTATGTAAGGTAACAGCAACAATTGAGCAATCATTTTTCCTGGGGAGGCAGACCACGGAGTCGAGGAACTAATAACTAATTTAATTTCTCCAGTATAATCAGAGTCGATTATTCCCATATGTACAGTAACACCTTTTAAATTCAGACTAGACCTTTCAAATAATAGACCTACTGTTCCTGAGGGTAAGGGTCCCCTAACTCCCGTGGGGACCTTTGGTGGCTCCCCAGGAAGTAAGGAGATGGGAATTGTGCTGTAGACATCTATGGCAGCACTGCCTGCTGAGGCGGGGGACAACTGTTGTACGTTTGTAAGGGTACTGGCTGTGCCGGGTATGCCTTGGTTTGTTGAGGGGCTCGAGGCGGGCCCCTCTTCCCATTTCCCGAAAGAGGTTGTCCATCTTTGCTAAATTTATAATGACACTGACTTTCCCAGTGATTGCCTTTCTTACACCGGGGACATACACCGGGACTTTTCTGTTGATTGATGGTAGTTTTTGCCTTTTGATTTCCTTTTCTACATTCCTTTCTTGTGTGTCCAAATTGCCCACAATTAAAGCAAGATCCTGAGAAATGGGGCATATTGTTTCCTACTCTTAAACCAGCCATAGTCTGATCTAAAAGAGTAGCCTTATATAAGTTACCTCCAATGCCATCGTAAGCCTTAATATATTCAGCTAAATAAGCCTTCCCTCTCAGGGGTCAAATAGCAGTTTGACACTCTGCATTAGCAGTATCGTATGCACGAAGCTGTGTTACAACATCCTGTGCTGTTTTATCAGTTATGGCTTTATACACAGCCTCTTGGAGTCAAGCAATAATATCAATATATGGTTCTTTGGGTCCTTGTCAGACAGAACTGAAAGAGGGATATTTTTCCCTTGTAACATTTATCCTTTCTCATGCCTGTAAGCACACAAAGTGCAGCTAAACAATGGCAACATCCTTCATTACTGCTTGATTTTCTAATCGACCCCAGTTGGGGCCAACTCCCATTAACCGTTCAAAGGAAACAGGCACAGGTGGCTGCACTTGTGTGTTTTCCCTTGCCTGAGTTTGAGCTTCATCAGTCCACCAAGTTTTAAACTGTAAATACTGAGACGGAGTGAGAACAGATTTTGTCAACGTATCCCAATCATATGGTATTAATTTATTATCAGAGCCATATTTTTAAAGTTTGCACAAAAGGAGGGTTCGGTCCGTATTGACTAATGGCGTCCTTCAATTCCTTTAGTAACTTAAAAGGAAAAGTAGCCCAATTAGCTATATTAGCCCTGCCTCCCTACTGGATTATAGTAACGGGAAATTGCCATGCTTCAAGGTCTCCCTCAGCTCTAGCTTTTTGAATAGAATTTTGTATAGCACCACCAATTGCTCCAGTTTTAATGTTGCAACTACAGAAGCAGTAAGTTTTTCGGCTAATTTATTTTCTTGCCCATTAAAGGGAGAGAGAGGAGGTGGCCATTCACTTAATTCAGCAGGTGGAGCCGACAGGCTAGTAAAACATACTTTTTTCAGTTTTCCTTTCTTTCATCTCCTCCGGTAGCTGTTCCTCACACTCAGAATCTGAAGTTAGTTTTTTACACTTGTCCTCCTCTTCCTCATCTGAATCTGCCTCATGATCTGTTTGAAATGGCTTAAGAGCTGCCTTTATTAGCACCCACATTGACCAAACGGAAACTAGAACTTCTGCTCCCTCTTTATATGCCTTTTTAAAGTCTCCCCCAGTTCTCTCCCAT